>NC_000014.9:62945046-63248076 GCF_000001405.40 Homo sapiens | reverse complement strand
GCTCCCACAATTCCCACATGTTGTGAGAGGGACCCAGTGGGTGATAATTGATTTATGGGGGCAGTTTCCCCCATACTGTTTTCATGGTAGTGAATAAGTCTCATGAGATCTGATGGTTTTATAAGGCGTTTCCCTTTTCACTTGGCTCTTATTCTCTGTCTTGCCTGCTGCCATGTAAAACATGCCCTTTGCCTTCTGCCATGATTGTGAGGCCTCCCCGGTTAGTGGAACGGTGAGTCCATTAAACCTCTTTTTCTTTTTAAATTACCCAGTCTTGGGTATGTCTTTATTAGCAGCATGAAAACAGACTAATACAATACTTGATTAGGGGCTATACATTATATGAGGAATTTATCTTATTTCACACATAACCAATAGGTGAGAAGAAGGCAAAACAGATCCTACCAAAAGCCATGATGATGCCCCTATCATTATTCTACCCAAGGGCACATTCAAATATGAGAAGGAGACAATTTACTTTCATAAGTGGGAATAAGGATAGTTTGCATTTGTTAATAGAAACTTAGTAGTCTCTTCCAAGAGAATTTACAATGAAAATGTCCATCATTTCTTCTAAGATTATAGTTTCTTTATTTTTTCTGTATATTTTTTTTCACCTACTCACTAGAACACACTAGATTGTAGGGCTACAGGAAAGAGAAAAGTAGAAATGGAAGAATGATGAAAAGAGGGTAGCCTGAAAAGAAAGGTTTTAATTTCAAATTCCATGCTTTGAAAGCTCAGATACATTTGGTGAGCAGGGAAACACCACTGGAGGTGCTGTTCTAGAAGGCTGTTCTTCCAAGTTCATTGCTTAAGGGACTTGTTGAGGGTCAAAAGAGCCCACATACTACTTACTGTTTACACTGAGAAAACTTGTGTATTATTTCAACACAATTCTACCAACTTTTTCTTAGTCTTTGCTCTGGCTACTCCATTCTTCATTCTTCACCCAAGATCAAGGCCAAGATTCCTTTCTCTCCTAGAAGCCTCCCAGCCTAGCTCCATGTCTTTCTGATTCCAGACTTGTTCTGAATCCCCTTCCAGTTCTGTCTCAAAATCTGTAAAATGGAGCTGGGTAAGAATGTGGGGAACAGTTAAAATGGATTAATGAATTAATGAATTAAAGCCCTATTTCCACTAAGGGCTGACTCTGAAGCCCCCTCTCATAAACCTGTAAACAGGTTGTGATCTAGTTTGTCAAGCTGAATTTGGAACCTGGAATATATTTAGCTGCCCACCCTCCATTCCTCGTCACTTCTACGTTTAGATTCCTAGGCTGGCTCACAATAGTGCACAGTAAAGCTGACTTCTTATAAATATATAGCAAAACAGAAGGTTTTCTTACTCTACATACTGTTACCTTGAAAAAATTGTGAAAATTTTATTTTCAATCCTAGTGGTCAAAGAAAAACAAGGTGCAAGAAATAGGAGGAGAGAGAGAATCATATGAATAATAGCTAATGTTCATGGCATGCTTACCTTGTAGGCACTGTACCAAGTGCTTTATGTGAATTATCTCATTAATTTCTTACTTTAATAGTACAGGAAAAAAAGAGTCTCAGGTTTTGTAATTTTTCCAAGAACACAGTAGTGGTAAGAGTTGGAGCTGAGAATAGAACACCAGTTTGTCTGGTTTCAAAGTCCAGGCTTTACCTACGATGTGGTTTTTATAGAGATTCCGAAGAAAACCTCTGGATGCTTATTATTATTAAGCCCAATTTCCCTGAACACTCTAGACTTTTAATTTTTATCTTTGTTTTTGTTGTAGGTTGTGCTGTTTACTTATACATGAAATGGGAGGGAAAAGAAATTGCCTGAGATTAAGAGAGAAATATTTCCAAGACTGTAGTGAAAGGTAGTGGGTTAGAAATGAGTGGTGAGTAGAGAGGATGTGAGAGAGAGGAGGGAGAAAGTGAGTAGTTAAGAAGGTGATGGGAACCAGACATGGGGTTGTGCCCTTCTCTGGAGCTTGGCCCAGCAACCTGGGTTGTTGCCAGGAGACAGCTGGGGTGGAGGAGGGGAATCAGGAGACTCCTAAGCCGGGTCTTTGAAACACCAGGAATCCTTGCACTATGGAGTCTCCTTTGGGTTTATGACAAGGTCATAAATCATCTAATAATAACATCCATTACCTGATTAATAGGTGACAGAGCCAGGATTAGAATTCAGGTCTGTGTGAATTCAAAGCTTGGGCTCTAATCACCCCCTTCTTCTGATGACTCTGATGGCCTGGGCCACTGCACCTGTGGACGTCTTCTATCGAGTAGCATCCATGGTTAGTTAAGGATTTTTGCAGTGTCCCAGACCCTTCAGTTTGTAAGCATTTACCAACAAAGAGATCATAGTTCCAGATTTATACATTGGTCTAAGATCAGATTTGTACAGTTATAACCCCTCCACTCCCCTTTTTTTCTTTTTTTGAGACAGGGTCTTGCTCTGTCATCCTGGAGTACAGTGGCACAATCATAGCTCACTGCGGTCTCAAACTCCTGGGCTTAAGTGATCCTCCCTCCTCAGCCCCCTGCCAGGTAGCTAGGATTACAGTCATGTATCACCATGTCTGGCTAATTTTTAAATTTTTAATAGAGATGGGGTCTTGCTATGTTGCATGGTGTCCATGGTGGTCTCAAACTCCTGGCCTCAAGTCATTCTCCTGCCTCCTCAGCCTCCTAAAGTATGGGATTACAGGTGTGAGCCAGTGCACCCGGCCAAGAGAATTTTTTAAATAGTATACCCTGTGTATTGATGTAGTCAGTTGTGTTTTCTGCCTTTTTTTTTTAATGAAGCAAGACAATCTTGAACATCTTTTCTATTATGAGTTTGTATGTGATAACTAAAATGTAGTAATGCTCAGACACAACAGCACTGAAAGAGTTGAAGTTGCTTCAGTACCCTGATGCTTACAGAGTTTTTTAGAACAAGATGGAAACACTTTGGGTTTAATATTTCCAAATATATGATTGAGGATGAGGGAATGTTTGGATTTTAGTTATTCAGCAACTTCTACAGTTAAAGACAGTGATATGCAGAGAGGGTCATATAGCCAGCAAGCCCTGGACACTGTGTGTAAATTCATGTTTGTTGAACTCCAAAGCTCATACAGTTTTCAATATGCTGTGCTGCTTTTGGAGTGTGTGAACACACGTGTGTACACACAAATACCCATGTGTGAGTGGACACAATCAGAGACAAGAATAATGACATCAAAACTAAGCCTTTGCCTACCTGAGAACTCCTTTATTTATTTGTTGAAAATTAATTTTTAAGTAGTTCTATGACCTTGGGCAAATTATTTAATGTATTTCAGTCTCAGTTTTCTTGTTTTTGAAATTGGTATCTTAATACTTTTGTGTTATTCTTGCAAGGATTAGAGATAATGTGTCTAAATATCACTAATGTAATGCTTGAGATTTGATGGGTGTTTAAAAATGGTAGCCATTACTAATTTTCAAAGATGACAATTTTCAACAGAACGTTACCCTTTTTGTTTTGTTTTAGACAGAGTTTTGCTCTTGTTGCCCAGGCTAGAGTGCAATGGCGTGATCTCGGCTCACCACAACCTTTGCCTCCCGAGTTCAAGCGATTCTGCTGCCTCAGCCTTCCCAAGTATCTGGGATTACAGGTATGTGCCACCACGCCTGGCTAATTTTTTTTTTTTTTTGTATTTTTAGTAGAGATGGTGTTTCTCCATGTTGGTCAGGCTGGTCTCGAACTCTTGACCTCAGGTGATCTGCCTGCCTCAGCCTCCCAAAGTGCTGGGATTACATGCATGAGCCACCACACCCGGCCAGAACATTACCTTTTTTTGATAATGTTCTCAATAGCTTCACAAACAACAATAATAGCAACAATAGCAGCTAAAATTTATTGCCTTCTTGCAATATGCCAACTGCCAACAAATTTTTCTGAGCATGTTGTATCGTACGTCTTCCTCCCAACAAATCTATGAAGTCGAAGCTCTATCATCCCTGTGTTGGAACTAATAAGACTGAAGATGAGAAGTAAATAGAATCATCTGTTTCAGAAATGAATGTCGTACATGTTCTGAGTAGGAATATGTACTGTTAATCAATTGATGTTAGTCAGTTATAGAAGGTCATCTATAAAGTATGCTTTTCATCATGTCAATCTTTTGGCATCACATCAGAAAGAGTGCCTTTTGCACAATTACGCAAATGACTGCTGCTTGCCTTGGAAGAGAGTGTATGACCTCTCATAGCCCAATTAAAAAAAAAGTTCACCATTCCAGAGTAGTTACTGCTATTGTTGTATTACGCATAACGTGTTTAAAGGAGTCATGAGTTAAGCCTTCCTCACTCTCTGAGGAGTTGTTTCATGGCAATGCTTTTTAGGATGTCCTTGCCGTTTAGACTTAAAATATGGTGTTGGTCATGGGGTTAACTCCTCTTTGGTGCATTAGAAATGTCAAGTTTTGGCCGGGCGTGGTGGCTTATGCCTGTAATCCTGGCACTTCGGGAAGCCAAGGTGGGTGGATCACCTGAGGTCAGGAGTTTGAGACCATCCTGGCCAACATGGGGAAACCCCGTCTCTACTAAAAATACAAAAATTAGCCAGGCATGGTGGCGGGTGCCTGTAATCCCAGCTACTCGGGAGGCTGAGGCAGGAGAATCGCTTGAGCCCAGGAGGTGGAGGTTGCAGTGAGCTGAGATCACGCCACTGTACTCCAGCCTGGGTGACAGAGCAAGAGTCTATCTCAACAACAACAACAAAAAAGAAATGTCAAGTTTTATATCCTTATGCCATTCCAAACAGCATGGGAATAGGAGCAGCTAGTTTTGGTTCTTCACTCCAACTGAAACACCAGTTAATAATGACACCAGCTGGGTTACCTCAAGACAGATGAGGAAAAATACTTGTTTTCCCTTTGGCTTTTAAAAGAGCTTGTTCAGATTGGGGCTAGAGAGAACCTGAAGGTATATTTTATCACTTTTTTCCCTTTGAAATTTTCTTCAATTTGTTTTTTATTTCAATTTAAAAAGTTATGAGAAGGTGCAAGTACCGCTTGTCCACTTTCCTATGCCTACAATATGCATTGTCATGCCCCTTGGAATCCAGTGGGTTCCTTGTATTTGGGGATGTGGATGACACAACATATTGATCTGAACTGTAAAATTCAATAGGAAATGGAACCTTTAATTTTTAATCACTTGCCAGTTTTTCATTTATATAAAAATACTGCACATAGCAAAAAATTGTGGCATTTCATTTTACATCTTTGAACTACCGTCCTTAACATAACTGGTTGTATAGGTCTGTTGACAGTGGAGTTTGGTTTGGATGAGAGCTTATGAGTTTTTTCTCACAGAATTGGAGTGTGGAATGGCTTAAAGAGAATCACGGCAAAGAAACTTATGGTGATTGTCAATGTGTGCCTTCCCATCACAGCCAGGCTTCTCCAAGTGGGTTTGAGCAGTGAGGCACAGAGAAGGAATGTGTCTTCCTGCACATCAACTCCCAACAAAACCCCCTGGCCCCCTTTTTTCTTTTTTGAGACAGGATCTTGCTCTGTCGTCCTGGAGTGCAGTGGCACAATCATAGCTCACTCAGTCTCAAACTCCTGGGCTTAAGTGATCCTCCCTCCTCAACACCCCAAGTAGCTAGGACTACAGTCATGTACCACCACGTCTGGCTAATTTTTAAATTTTAAAAATAGAGATGAGGTCTTGCTATGTTACATGGTGCCCAGGGTGTTCTCAAACTCCTGGTCTTAAGTCATTCTCCTGCCTCCTCAAGTATGGGATTACATTTGAACTATAAAACTCAATAGGAAATGGAACCTTTAATTTTTAATCATTTGCCAGAGTTGTTCACTTATACAAAAATACTGCATGTAGCAAAAAATTGTGGCCATTTCATTTTACATCTTTGAGCTATCATTCTTTTCTTTCTTTGAGACACAACTACACTTAGGCTATTCCAGAAAGAAAGTATATACGCTTCATTTTCACTTTAAACAAGGCAATATTATGAGGTAGAATGCCAAATTCACAAGGATATTAAAACATGGACTTTCAAAGACATTTTGTGCTCTCTGTTTCTGGATACACTCCCATACCATCTCCAAGTCACTCAGCTTCCTTTGGACTTACCACCAAAGCATTTACTTTGTAGTCATTTTCTGCCAAAGTACTACATTTGGTCAAAATTTTTGAGAGGCATTGGTGATTTCACCAATGAACTTTTAATTCACTTGAGGGTAATGTAGCTTTGAAAAATAGTGTCCTTATACTACTTATTCATTTTTCTTTAGTCCATGGAACCTCCTGGCCTGAATATAAATTAGTTTGACATTTTGCTACTGGATCAACCAGTGCCGATGGGGCTTTGCGCCTTCAGATACCCTGCAGGCCTTAGGCTGACTTCCCAGTTGGCTCTGGTGCCAGCCTGTACTTTTTTTCCTCGTAACCTCTTAACAACATAACTAACTGCTCTGCAAAGTTAACTGGATATTGATGTTCCTGTCATCTGCAAGGCTGCAGAAAGCACATAAAGGTAGTTAATGCGAGTGTCTTTTGCTTGTACTTGCTTTCCTTTGTATTAATAAATCTTAAACCTTCCCTTGAAACCACCAAAAACTATTGGCAAGCCATTCTTCTGAATGTGTGCCCAGAGACAAGGGTAACAAGTATTCTTTTAAAATATAAAAATAAAACTGGCAAGTTGTTGATGGGATTAGTAATCTCTTCCTCTCTCCCTGTCTCTGTGCCTCTTGAGTATTTATGGCTCTATGGAAGACTTGGGAGGATGCAAATGATTTTTGGTCCTGCTTTCCCAGAAAACTTAGAGGACAGATGGTCAATACATTTAGGATGACACTGAATTTTTGACTCCCTGCTTAAAATCCACATTACAAAAACGTAGACTTCAATGACCATGGAATGAATGCGCGTATGGCGTGGCCTCCACTGCACTGGACTTTTCCCTGAGCAGCATTTTGCAAGCCACTCTAGAACTGATGGTAACCTCAAAGGGATTTTCTGGATGTCTTTGTTATCTGGTATTTATATATTATGTTAGTTACTGTTTCTCCTGAGCTCTCTGGGGAGAAAGCAAGGGAAATATTCGGAGAGGACTTGCCATGGGTTGAATTTGAAACCAAAAGCTTTAAATACTTAGTCCACTGTTGAACACATTCTTAGTGAGTTGCCGTTTCATGGAACCATTGTCAAAAATGGGAAAAGCAATACAGTGGAATCCTATTATAAATGTCTTAGTTACATTAAATGAATTGAATAATTTTCCTTGAGAAACCTAATTTCATGGGGAAAATCCTGACATAACTTGATTTCATTATGTTTTGTTACTTGTTCTGTAAGGGTAATAGGTATTTATGAAATATCTATTGTGTGATTTAATAACAGGTTTATAAAACAAGTGACCCTATAGTTTGTGGGCTTGCTTTTTTTTGTATTTTGACAGCTTCTGCTGGGTATCAATCACCCACTCCTTCCCTTATTACTTTTACCACATATTCAATGTAAATATTCCAGTATCTATTTATTCACATTTCTCTTCTCATGCCTGGAGCCCTATACATCTTCAGCTGTATCTTTTTTTCTTTTCCCTTCTCTGAGATCAATCAACCAGCAAGCATTTGTTATACTGTGCTACAGCAGCCTCTGCAGGAATGAGGCTATAATTCCTAAAGAAATGTGGGATTTCGGTCCAAATTGCTCCGCATAGCAACTAATATAGTAGTATCTCATGCCAAAAAACACTTAATGGTTTTGATGACAATAATAAATGTGCATCTTTGAAAAGGATGAGATTTTTTACTCTCTTTCTTGTAGATACAACTACACTTAGGCTATTCCAGAAAGAAAGTATATTTACATACTCTTATTATTAAAACTTTTAATATTTTTGTTTCACCACGAATTACCTCTCAGCCTTTGCTTCTTCCTATTAAACAAATCCAACCTTTTAAGGGTTTTCTCAAAGGCCCTATTTTCAATGTTTTAAATTATTCATTTTCTCATTCTACCATATTTACAGAGTATTTACCATGTGAAATAAAATATAAAAATTCTATGGCACTTTATAAAGGAAATGCAAGTCAGGGCCTTTACTCCTGAGGATTAGAAATAGTGAGATTCAGACATCCACACAAGTTTTTATTTCGGTTCTTCAGAATTTCATCTCTAGTCTTTTAGCCTGGCCCTGACTTTCTTCATAAGCTTCCCTTTTCTCTGCCCTTAATTCCAGAAAATACCACACATAGATTGGTAAAGAAGCTTCTCTTTCCCTTTCTCTAATCATCTTAAGAGAAGTCTGCTTCCTTAAGTCTGTCCTGCAAGTGGATAGCAGTGGCCATCACAAAAATGGCAGCCAAGGCACACTGACATGATTGTCTTAGCCCCTGAAGCAGAGAAGAAGCTCTGGTCGGGTGCAGTAGGTCAGTCAAGTCAGCTTCTGATAACTAAGTTAGTGGTTCTAGTCAAAGCAACTTTCAGCAACAATTTGAATCCATTGTAATTTTTTCAAAGGAGTCCATGTGAGTATGTGGATTCTTGTCTTCAAATGTTCTTAGAATGACAGGAGAATTACAGAAAATCTGTGGGCTCCCCAGAGTTTCCCTGTAACATGGGCCAAATTTGTTGTCTGAATGCTCATTTCAATTCCTACTTTAAAATGAGTTGTTGGCCGGGTGCAGTGGCTCATGCCTGTAATCCTAGCACTTTGGGAGGCTGAGGCGGGCGGATCACTTGAGGTCAGGAGTTCGAGACTAGCCTGGCCAACATGGCGAAACCCCGTCTCTATTAAAAATATAAAAATTAGCCAGGTGTAGTGGCTGCCATCTGTAGTTCCAGCTACTCAGGAGGCTGAAGCAGGAGAATCGCTTGAATCTGGGAGGCGGAGGTTGCGGTGAGTCGAGATTGTGCCACTGAACTCCAGCTTGGGTGAGAGAGTAGACTCCATTTCAAATAAATAAATAAAAAACAAACAAACAAACAGAAAAAAAACCATGAGTTGGTATTCACTCGAATAGGTCCCAGCAGTGTCTAATGACCTGGAGAGACCGCATGCTAAGTTGGGCCCCCACTTTCCAGCCTAGGGTGTGACATAGCAGAGTGGTTTAAGGTTATGAGCATGGGATGCAATTCCAACTCTGCTGCCCACTCAAGCATGATGCCACCATGGGCATGTTTCTTAATTAAGCTGCATCATCCTCATTTCCAGCATTGGGCAAATCACAGTTACCTTCCAGGATCCCCAGGAATATGTGCGGATATATATGAAAATCCCCTTCATAGTTCCTGAGGCATGAACAGGGCTCCATAAGCTCCATGCTGACTGTGTTTACCATCCTATGCACTACTGAAAGTACATAGGCCAGGTGCAGTTTCTCATGCCTATAATCCCAGCACTTTGGGAGGCCGAGGTGGGCAGATTGCTTGAGCTCAGGAGTTCGAGACCAGCCTGGGCAACAAAGTGAGACCCTGTCTCTAAAAAGAATACAAAAATTATCCGGGCATGGTGTTGTGTGCCTATAGTTCCAGCTACTTGGGAGGTTGAGCTGAGGTGGGTGGATGGCTTGAGCCTGGAAGGCAGAAGTTGCAGTGAGCTGAGATGGCACCACTGCACTCTAGCTTGGGCGATGGAACCAGACCCTGTCTAAAAAAATAATAATAATAATAAATAAAATGCATAGCTCAAGACTTTCTTCTGACCCTGATCTTTGAAAAGCTAGTTTTATACCATGCTGATGATGACTGTTGCTTCAACAGTTTACATGGCTTCCTAAAAGTGGTCTGGTCTGAACTACATTTTTCACTTTGGCCCAGGAAAGCAAGCAAGCAAGCAAGCAAACAAATAAACAAGCAAACAAAACACAGGAGCTACCTCTAAGAGTACTTCTAAAATGAATTTGATTTCAACTTTCTAAATATACCTGAATTGTACAATTTTTTGTTCTCATCTGTCACGAATTATCAAGAAAGATTTTTTTCCGTATGTGAAAGATTTGCCATGTTAAGCCGTGATCTACTGCTGGTGGAAATCAAGGCCAAGGGATGAACTCATTAGAGTGAATCTAGAGTGTGGTGAATATGGTCTGAAGCTTGCCAATGCTTGGCAGCTGAAGGACCAGCAGGACAGAGCAGGGTGGGAGAACAACCAGGCGTAAGCGGCAAGAAAAATTTATCTCACACCTAAGTTGTACTTGTTAAAGAAAGAGAAGCATGTGAAAAATCCCTTTGTCTCACTGTGCTGTGATAACAAGACCAGGTGTGATGGAGATAGTCTGACGATCCACACCGATTAATTCAGTCTAACCTTCGAATCCAGTAGAAATTCATAAAAAATCAAACTTTAAACAAATGTATAGCTAAATTATCATCAGCATTTCTCAGCTATTTCTGTTGTTTCTGCCATATTTGGATACTATTTGGAAAACCAGAAGACGAAATTGCCCTTTGAAACTATGAAATTTTAAGTTAAACTGAAACTTAACAAGTGTGTATTGGAGTTTTTGAGTCATGGCTAACAGGATGCATGCCACATACTAGTCTCCTGCTTTGGCCTAAGAGGGAAGCTAGGAAGATTTTAGAAATGATAAAGACTTTCAAGAGCAGACACTTTTTAATGTTTAAAATTAAAAATTATCTGGGGACTGCAATTGATCTGACATTTATACTGTTTCAAGTGTTGTGCAGAGTACTTTGGAAACTAAAGAAAATTATTCTTTTTAAATTTTAAAGCTTTTTTTCTCATAAAATAAACTGAGCTGGTTAATATTTTGTCAGATCATGCTTTCTAGGTTATATCATCTTATTTCATACGGGTCCAAGCTCCTTCTTAAAAAAATAAGAAAACTTTGTTTTTTATTCTCTTGCTCATATTTTCTCTTATTTCTCTAGGCAAGCTGTGTATCATGAAACATCTTCTTTTGTCTATTCAAGTTCCTTTGAATTAAAGTTCTGCACAGTAGGTTAGCCCTCCATATCTTTGGGTTCTGCATCCATGGATTCAACCAACCAAGGATCAAAAATATTCAGGAAAAAAAGGGACAATTGCATCTGTACTGAACATGTTTTTTTCTTGTCATCATTCCCTAAACAATACAGTATAACAACTATTTGCATAGAATTTACACTGTATGAAGTATAAGTAACCTAGAGATGATTTAAAGTATACAGGTGGATGTGTTTAGGTTACATGCAAATATTACACCATTGGATATCAAAGACTTGAGCATCTGTGGATTTTGGTATCTGTGGAGGGTCCTGGAACCAATCCTCCTACAAAGATTGAGAGACAACTCTGTGTGTGTGTGTGTGTGTGTGTGTGTGTGTGTGTGTGTGTTTCAAGCCTCTTCCCATGAAGAGAGAATTCAGGACACTTCACTACTTGTTGGTAACTAGAAAACATTTCATGCCACATACAGACTGGGTTGGTTTAACTATGTCCTCACCTAAATCTCATTTTGAATTTCCACGTGTTGTGGGAGGGACCCAGTGGGAGGTGGCTGAATCATGGGGGCAGGTTTTTCCCGTGCCGTTCTTGTGGTGTTGAATGAGTCTCATGAGATCTGATGGTTTTAAAAAGGGGACTTTTCCCTGCACAAACACTCTCTTTGCCTAACACCATCCACGTAGGATGTGACTTGCTCCTCCTCACCTTTGGCCATGATTGCGAGGCCTCCCCAGCCATGTGGAACTGTGAGTCCATTAAACCTCTTTCTTTTGTAAATTACCTGGTCTCAAGTATGTCTTTATCAGCAGCGTGAAAACGGACTAATACACAGACCTTGAAAAAAATATTCCAGAAGGCATTCAGCTGGGTATTCTACCACCATAGCTGGCTTACACAGCAGGCTTTACTGAAGAGACCTTGTTCCAAGAAAAGGTACTATGTCAGGTGATGCATGAAACAGAGCCTGTAGCCTCTCTTGGAACTTGTTGGCCGTAAAAGAGAATTCTGTAGGGTCAGAGTAAGAAGAGAGGATGTAGAAAGGAAGGTTTGTTATATGTGGAAAAATCTAAAACAATAAAACCTGTTCATGATTGCTGCTTTTAAAACATTGAAATAATTAAGAAATGTATTTAAGGATGGAGAATTTCTTCCATGTGTTTCCATGTGCACATTTTTCTCCTGGGGAATACTTGTTCAAGCAAAAAAGCATTTATTACAGAAAGCTATAAACTTATATTTTGAGATTTCTTCTCTAGGAGAAAATAATTATAACCTCAAGTCTTTTGATAAGTTCTATGGTAAGATTAGCAAATTCAATTTTCTGATTTAAACACAGTTCTGGAGTTAATAATGAATGACCAACAGACTTATCTCTAATACTAAATGACCTTATCAGTTTGAAATAGTGTGTGTTGCAGCAGAAGGGACAGTTATTATTTTAAGAAAATTTTTCTTCAAAGAGGATTTTATTCCAATTTTTTGTTTTGAAAATTTTGAAACATACCAAAAAGTTGAAAGAATTGTAGGAACACCTTATGACCCCCATCTACATTCAGCAGTGTTAACCATTTCCCACAAATACTTTCTCTTTGTATATGTATGCACATATTTTGCCCCCTGAACCATTTGAAAGTAAATTGTAGACATGGTGACATTTTACCTATAAATACTTTAGCAGCATCTCTTAAGAATAAGAGCACTCTCTTAGATAACCACAGTAGCACTATCATAACCAAGAAAATTAACATTAATTTCTTAATGTAATCTAAATCACTGCATATTAAAATGTCCTTAATTGCCTACAAAATGACTTTAATAGCTTTTTTTCTTTTTAAAATCAGGATCCAATCAGCTTAAAACAGAGCATTTAATCTATAGCTGTCTCTTCACCTTTTTTTTCCTTCCTGCGATAGTGCCTCTTTTTTTTTTTGGAGTCCAGGAAAGTTTTCTTGTGGAATGTATCACATCCCGGACCAGTAATAGTTTTGATATGCCTTTTGATAATTTAGAGTCCCGAAAGAAGAACCCCGAGAACTTAGTTTGGCATATTAGTAAAGAGATAGTCACCAAAGTGCTTTCACCTTAGCATAGAAACCCGAGGAGATTTAGATTAGACAGAAGAAACTTGGCAGGAAACATAACAGTATTTTGGGATCACAATGTTTCTGAGTTTACTGGTTCCTAGATATTTTAAAATTAAAAGGAAGGGAACTAATTTCTTTAACGGGGCACCATGCCTCAGTGGATATGTTTAGCAAATGATTGGAATGTTGGTTCGGGGCTTACCAAATAAATTGTGGTTAAAGAAAACAGTTATTTGCATAATAGTGCGGATGGAGCTCTGTGGGGACAGAGAATTTCACCTTTCTTTTCTTAAGTACAAATTTATATATATTTTTTGGAAAAAATATATGTGAAAAGTCAAAAGTGAGAAAAATTATGTTAATGGTTTATTTTATCTGTTTTAAACTCTTTCATGTTCAAATATGAAAAACTATATAATTATATGTGTGTGTACATGTGTGGGTTATATATTCAAAGGCTTTAGATCTGAACAACCACAAAATGGCATTACTATTACTAGTACCAATAAAACATATCTCTTTTATATCAGGTCTTTTATACTGAAGCGAAAGGATGATTTGTAGGTAATGTTGAGCATATTCAAATAATCTCTTTAGTGCCCTTTTTTCACTTATCCAAGGCATTGTTATGTACCTATAATATATCAGGCAGTATATTAGGAGCAGGGATGCAAAGATGAACAACAGAACATGATATCTGCCCTTGAGGGATCGTAGTTTAGTCGGAGGAGCAGAGATGTACAAAGTTCTATCAGTGTGAGCCCTGCTGTAATAAAGGCGCAGATAAGGTACTATATGCTTGACCCACTGTATGCTTGACCCACTCAATAAATATTTGTAGAATACATGGGTGAATTAAGGAATCATAGTATGGGAATCACCCAGTAGAACATCTGGGGAAATAGAGAAGCTTTCAAGAAGGAGGTAAAGTTTGAGTTGTGTATTAAAAGATGTACAAGAGCTTTCCAGGGACAATGACGGTTGTACACACCAGGTGGCTTGCACAAATGTGGAAATGAGAGTGTGGGACTGACATGTAGTGCAGTGCGGCCCAATCCCAGGGTTCACTTGGGTGGTAGGTGGGGATATGGTTGAAAAGAGGAGTCAGAGCACAGAAAATGAAGGCATTTTAAGCCTGTCTAGAGATTCCTAACTCTATTCTGGGAACGGTTGGGAGCTGCTGGATGATATTGGTCAGAGGATTGATGTGCTTGGATTTGTTGTTGTTGTTGTTTGGAAGACCTCTCTAGTGGTAATATGGAGAATGAGTCCCAAGCGAGAAGCCAGGCTGGTTAAAGGGCTGTTACTGTATAATGGTCCAGGGAAGAGAGGATGACTAAATCAGTGACAGTAGGAATGGAGATGACAGATTCAAGAGTTATTTGTCCTGGTAGCCAGGTGTTATTGTAGCTATTAAATAAAATCTAGTTTGTGATTTCAGGAACTAAGGACATTGATGAATTTATCTAATAATTTGAAATAAAATTTTCTCTCCTGTTATTTCAGTTGTTAGCTACTGTCTAGTTTGAGGTTCACTTTCATAAGCAAAGGCATCATATTACTGTCTTTACTTTTCCCCCTTCCAATTATTTTTTCAGCATTTTCATTGGGATATAATTTGCATACCACACAATTCATCCATTTAAAGTGCAATTCAATAGTTTTCGGTAGAATCACAGAGTTGTGCAACCACCACCATAATACATTTCAGAATATTTTAATCACTCTAAAAAGAAACCTTGTACCCAAGAGCAGTTACTCCCCATTCAGCCCTTTCACAGTCCCTGAAAACTACTAATATACTTTTTGTCTGTCAGGATTTGGCAGGAAGTTACTTATTTCGTGAGCTCAAAGGCCATGCTCTTGAGCCCTGTTTCAGAATACAAAGCCCTCTCTTTTTTTTCATTCCCAAGCAACTTTTCCATTTCTTTTTACATACCACTTCCCATGATCCTCACATTCTCCTCAATTAATATTGCCTCACCTATCCTTTGGCTACTCTCCTCAACTTTGAAGAATTAAGAATACTCATGAAAATATGTCTTTATTGAGTGATGGAGGCTGGGTGCGGTGGCTCATGCCTGTAATTTCAGCACTTTGGGAGGCCGAGACAGGTGGATTGCTTGAGTCCAGGAGTTTGATACCAGCCTGGACAACATGGTGAAACCCTATCTCTGCAAAAACACAAAAATTAGCCCAGCATGGTGGTGCATGCCTATGGTCCCAGCTACTTGGGAGGCTGAGTTGGGAGGATGGCTTGAGCCTGGGAGATGGAGGTTGCAGTGAGCTGAGATCGCGCCACTGCATCGCAGCCTGGGTGACAGAGTGAGACCCTGTCTCAAAAAAAAAAAAAAAAAAAAGGCAAGAAAAAAAGACTTTAAATGGATGAATTGTATGGTATAATTATTATGCTTGCATAAATCATATTTATTATTGCCTCTCGATCTTACATGAGAAACATGATAATGTGACTTAATTTAAACCAACTATGGCTTATTGAGTTTTGATATAGACTGTGCAGTGAAGAGCTTCTTGCAAGGAACCAGGGTGCATTGGCTTTAGATTCTGGCCAACTTGCTAAACAGCTATTCAGGGAAGTGGCTCTGACACACAGACTGTGCTTGTTTTCCTTGTTGCCCACTTCCCAGGTACCTTAACATACCTTTCTCCCTTCTGCTACCATCTAAATCCTCTTTCAGATTATATTGGATCAGCAAAATGTAGTTTTTAGGGAAATAAGACAGCTTTCTTATTCTAAATTTAAATTTAAGAAGGACTTGTGAAAAAGTAATCTTTTGAAGTATCAGAAAAGAAAAGTATGCTTGAATTCCCAAGAATGTAAGACTTCACTTGAGGGTGGCGGCTGTGATTCTCTAGTTGAAAATGATTTGATGAAACTCATAGTGTATGGAGCTTTTCCCAAGAAAAATAAAATGTAGGCCTGGAAGAGACCCCAGGAAGTCATGTCGCATCATTCCCTGCCTCGGGCATGCCAGTGTCCTAAGCACTCAACTGTCATGACTGTCTGCTCTCCTTATGAAGAGACTGTCACACATGTGTGCACCATAACTTCCCACCTCATTTCAGTGTTTTAGGAGCCAAACCAACTGACGTTAATCCACACTGGTTTTGTTTGTGGACATTTTGTATTATTTGCTCTTCCCTGGATATAGGAAACTGAGCATAGCCAAAGAAAATATAGTCTATGAGATGAGATATTACAAAAGGACAAAAAAAGTTGTATCAAGTATCTTTCCCACATGAACAGAAACAACAATAGCAGAAGCCACCGATATTTGTTCAACACTGCTACATATATTGATGCATTGGCTTAATTAATCCTCATAAGTTTTAGGTGAAATAAGTCCTATTATTATCCTCATTTCATACATGAAGAAACAATAGCTTAGAGTTTAAGTGACTTGTCTAAAATCAAGTCACCACTGCAATACCGAGCTGAGTGTTTAATTTGTGCATATTTGGTTTAAAATCACATCTTTTGACCACCGTACATGTGTGTGCGTCCATTCCTAACATGGCTATACAACGTTATTGTAATGTGAAGTTTTGCAAAAGCATGACTAGTTCTTTGCCCATGGAACCAGGAAAAACAATGGTTGAAGCAGAGCATGTTATAAAGGAAGTGATTTTACTTTATTTGAGTAGTTGTTAACATCACCCAGCAAGGTAGTTGTGTTCACTAGTGAATTATGGAACTGGTAAATGTTTCTGTGCTTATTCATAAGTACTCTCTTACATCCACTATAAAGGGCTTATAACATCAGAGGAAAAAGGTAGGGATGGATACAAATCATTGTTGGAATTGCGGAAGAACTAACATAAAAATAATTAAAAGTGAAAGTCTCGGCCAGGCGCGGTGGCTCACACATGTAATCCTAGCACTTTGGGAGGCCGAGGCAGGCAGATCACCTGAGGTCAGGAGTTTGAGACCAGCCTGGCCAGCATGGTGAAACCTCATCTCTATTAAAAGTACAAAAATTAGCTGGGCATGGTGGTGGGCGCCTGTAGTCCCAGCTACCTGGGAGGCTAAGGCAGGAGAATTGCTTGAACCCAGGAGGCGGAGGTTGCAGTGAGCCGAGATCACACAGTTGCTTGAACCCAGGAGGCGGAGGTTGCAGTGAGCTGAGATCACACCACTGCACTCCAGCCTGGGCGACAGAGTGAGACTCCATCTAAAAAAAAAAAAAAAAAAGCCTTGTACCCTTGTAAACTTCCATTCACTCACTCAAAAATATTTATTGAGTGCAGGAATTCTTCTAAATGCCAGAGATATGGCACCCTTTTCTTAATAGAGAGATAATAAAGAAGTGTGTATGTGTGTGTGTGTGTGTGTGTGTGTGTACATATGTGTGTGCAATGTATTAGATAGTGATAAATTCTACTGAAAAATAAGGCAAGATGAGTGGAGAGTAGCTCGTTTTTATACAGCATGATTAGGGAAGATCTTGCTGCTAACGTGACATTTGAGCAGGGTTCTGAAGAAGGTGTGAAGGACAGTCATGTGAGTACTGGGGTCATAAATGCTGGGCAGTGGGAACTACTGCTAGTTTTGATGGTACTGTTATATAGAAGAGCAATGTCAAATCAAAGGGAAATAGAGAATAGACACGCCAAATAATACCATATAATAAGAAAGGAAGGAAAGAACTTAAACATAGTTATAGGGAGAAAAACTAGAAAACACCAAAGTCAGTTGAGTTGATGGCAACTTCAAAGTCTTTATGTGAGGGACAACATTTCTGTTTTCAGTAGGACTCCACTACTGAAGTAGGTGTGGGGAATTTCCTTCTATATCTTGGTCAGTCTTAGATACCTATAGAAATTGGACTTACTAGTTTTTTTTTTTAACGTTTTTTGTTGTTCAGTCTCCTGTGACAATTTTTAGGATTGTCCATACACATACCTTTGCTTGCATCACCACTGCCACCCCACTCTGCCCTCCCACACACTGTTTTTCTGTAAGGGTGGTTGAGACAATCTTTAGACACACCAGCTGGTGTTCTCAGGTCATTAAATCCCAGAAATTGAAAGGAGAGAGAAATATGTGGAGAAGGGAGAAAATTCTTAGCGGCCTAAATTTGGGTTACTATTCCTTAGGGATAATTAGTGTTGACATGTTAAGAGCCAACACGGTATGGTGGAAATAGTTCTAAAATAACCCCAGTGATCCTTGACCCGTGGTATTCCATGTTTATGTTACTGTTACCCGGCAAAGGAGATTTTGCAGATGCAATGAAGTTACCAATCAGCTGCCCTTAAGATAAGGAGATTATCTGGATGAACCTGACTGAGTCACATGTTCCCTTTAAAAGCAGAGAGTCTTCTCTAGCTGGTAGCAGAAGGGAAAATTAGATATTTAAAACAAGAGAAGAATCTGTTGTGAAGGCAGTGCTTCACTGAGAGCTTTGCAGATGGAGGGGGCCATGTGTCAAAGACTGCGAGTGACCTCTAGAAACTGAGAACAGTGCTTGGCTGATGGCCAGCAAGGAAACAGGAACCTCAGTTCTACAATCCCAAGGAAATGAATTCTGCAAAAAAAAAAGAATAAGCTTAGAAGCAGATTCTTCTCCAGAGACTCCTGATAAGACCAGCCTGGCCACCAATTTGATTTTGACCTTATGATACCTTAAGCAGAGAATCTATTCATGCCTGCTGGACTTCTGACCTACAGAACTGTGAGCTAATAAATGAGCATTGTTTCAAGTCACTAAGATTGTGGTAGTTTGCCATACAGCAATAGAAAATGAATACATAATACTAACATAGTTAAATTCAAACTAACATTCCTCCTTCTTTTTTTTGCTTTAAAGCAGTTATTTGGACCCAAATTATTTGGACTCACTTTGTAGATATACTATCTAAGCAAACAGTGTTGAGCATTTTACTTCTGAAAGGAAACAACTTATTTCCTATTGACTTTTTCTTGACGAGCATTTTGTACACCTTGTATGAAGCAGGCACCATGCCAGATGCTTAGAGATTTGGTTCCTCTTATGAAACTTCTATTTTAGTGGAAGAGACACCTCAGTAAATAGGCCATTATAATACAGTGTGATAGGTGCTATGACAGGTCAGAAGAAGGAGCTATGAGAGCATGTAGGAAAAGCAGGAAATCCTCACTGAGGGCTCTGGAAGGCTTCTGGAAGAAACTCGGAAGGTAATGCTGCCATGAGGTCCTTCAAAAATTACTTAATTGTGAATGCATAATAACATTCATGAGTTAAAACATAAAAATGTATAAATGCATGCAGTGAATAGTCTAATTCCCACTCATGTTTCTCATTTATCCAGTTTACAACCTCCAATAGATGATTGGTGTCTTAGAGTTTTGTTTATTCTTCGGATTTTTAAAGTGTGTGTGCATTGCAATTGTGTTTCTATTCTGTTTTCGTCTTTTTTTTTTTTAACCACATATGGAAGCATACTATACACATTTTTCTGTAGTTTGACTTTTTTTCACATACAACTTTATCAGAAGGTATTTATAGATCAATTCTTTAAGCGCTTCCTCATTATTCTTAACAATTGCATGGTATTCCATTTTATGAGTGTGTCATCCTTTATGGAATCAGTCCCCTGTTCTTAGATAGTTGGATTATTTCCAGTTGTTTGCTATTACAAACAACGCTGCCAAGAATGAGCCTGTAAGTCATTCTGCACATGTATGAGAACAGCTGTAAGATAAAATTTCAGAAGGAAGGATTGTTGGGTCAAAAGAGTATGTGTTTGAAATTCTGATAAATTTGCTCTCCAGTTTACATTCCCACCATCAATCAATGGATGAGTTTTCTTTAAGAAAGATAATCCAACAATAGAAATACAAAGTTAGTGTAAAAGTGTACATATATTTTATTTAGAATGAGAAACATATCAAACCTTGTATCAACTCCGCAAGTTATTCTTCCAGTGCTGGGTGCTTGGACATGCTCATAGGACAATAGAATCTATGGCCTTTCACCTCTGTCCTACAGCCCTAGGGGAGTTGGTAGGTGGGTCACAGGAATATTCTTGGAAGCCGTTCTTATCCTAGGAAGGCTACCAATAACTTAACGGGGCATAAAAGCAGCAAAACCCTATACCGATGTGACTAAATTCAAATTAATAAATCTATGACCATGTGAGCACATTTTTAGAGCCATTCCAGAACCTTGGAAGGTGCTCCTGCAAATGAGGGGCTCTGAAACGTAATCTTCATTAGCTTCATGTAAATCTGTCTTTAATGTTTATTTTTCTACATCCTTGCCAGTCAAGTGTGTTATTAAGCTAGAATCATTGTCAGATCCAGCAGTCTCAAAGTATTTGTTGAATAGTTTGTTTTTCTTCTGCGAAAGTCCCCTTTGCATTTTCTATGTTTTGACTTTCTATAAAGTACTGTTTTGGATGGTCGGTACATTTATTTGTCAGTCCCACACTGTTGTAATTAGAGATTTTATAATCTGTTTTAATGACTCATAGGGTATTGTTCCTTTTTGTGTTCTTTAGATTTTTCTTGGCTATTCCAGTTTGTTTTGTTTTTCTATATAAACTTGAACTAGACTTTTTATTAAGATTGTGCTAAATATATAAATTACATAGGGAAGAGTGGATCTTTGTTATATTCGTATGTATTACCATTTGTTCACATTGTTTTGGTGTCCTTAAGAAACATTTAAAAATATATTAGTTTATTTCCCCAAGAAAGCCTCATGAGACCAATATTCCTAGAGTCCTTGCATATTCAAAACAGTTTATTTGTAGCCATTACTTGAAGTATTATTTGCTGAATATAAGAATACTTAGCTCGGCTGGGCGCGGTGGCTCACACCTGTAATCCCAGCACTTTGGGAGGCTGAGGCGGGTGGATCACCTGAGGCCAGGAGTTCGAGACCAGCCTGGCCAACATGGTGAAACCCCGTCCCTACTAAAAATACAAAAATCAGCTGGGCATGGTGGCAGGCGCCTGTAATCCCAGCTACTTGGCAGGTTGAGGTGGGAGAATCGCTTGAACCCAGGAGGCAGAGGTTGCAGCGAGCCGAGATTGCACCATTGCACTCCAACCTGGGCAACAAGGATGAAACTCTGTCTTAAAAAAAAATACTTAGCTCATACTTCCTTTTTTGGATTATCTTTAGGTATTGCCCCATCATCTTCTAGTATTAGGAATAGGTCTTAGTAATATATAACATGCTCCCTTCATCTCATTACGTGACCTGATCTTTTTGCCTGTGTCTTTAAAGCTAGTATTCTTTAACTTTTCTAGGAGTTGTATTTGCATTGACTGTGCCAGTTTAATTATCCTAGCAAAAATTTTCCAAGGTGTAGATTCATGTCTTTTACTCCAGGATATTTTTTTTTTCTTGAGCAATATTCAAATCTGGTCTATGACATTACTATGCTTTTATTCTTTCATCCTTTGGGAACTCCAGTTATACATATGCTGAGTTTCCCTTGTTTATTCTTGTATATATAGTTTTATTTATGTATTATATTCATATTTTATTTTATTTATATATTGTTTTATATATAATTTTCTCTCTAATTCTTTTAAACTATTTATGTTACATCTGGCTTACTTTTCATATCTCTATTCTCATAACCCTTAATGTGTTTTCTACAGGGTCTGTTTCTGTGATGTTTCCAATTTTACCTACATTTCTCTGATGGCTTTATATTTCCTTCTAATTCTTTCCTGAGTTTTGCTAGCCCACATTCCCCTTTCTCCAGGTGTCTTGCCATCTCTCCTTGATTTCTTGCATTTTTGCCTTGTGTTCTTTCTTCATAGAGGTAATTGTTTCATTATGTTTTTCTCAGTCATAGCAAAATATTTGTTCACAATATTTACCTATCATATGGCATTATTTTTCCTGAGAGCAAGTCTCAGCTGCTAATAAATGTTGCTGATTTTTTCCTCCTTTATTTCTTCTGGCACCTTTAAGTGCAATACTAGTTTCTTTCAAAAATTGATTATTATATAAAGAGGTGAATTTTTCTGTATAAGCTATTGTGAATGGTCACGAGAAGGGGTCAAAGGGGTATTCCAGGTTGGGCAGTTTTTTTACATGAAAAGGCTGATACTTTCAATTGTTACAAAGACTATGTCTTCAGAAAAATATGGCTCCATCTGCATTATTCTTCCTGAAGCCCTTAGCTTCTGTGATGTGAACCGGGTCTATTGAAGGTTTCTGATACCTGCAAGATTAATCTTTTTTCTGAACCTCTTTTATATACATGGGTTGTAGTCCTTTTCCCCTCTAGGCCTGTCCCTTGCCTTCAAAAAAAAGTATATTTTTATGGGACATTTCTGAGACCTGACAACACTGGTCTTTCTTTCTACTTCCCACTGTTGTCTCTTCTGTGAATTCTGTTGTTTTTTTGGCATCCTTTTCAAAATACGTTAGAGTCTGTGTCCTAGTTTTACTGAAAATACAATTTGTGTTTTTGTTTCCCATTTTTCTTTTGGGTAGTTTTCAGGAACAGAAGAGAAGAACACTGGATTTATACAATCATGGTCATATCAGAAGTCTCAATGAGATATTATTTTACAGAAGTAAAAATGAAAACATCAGATGGGTTTTCAGAAACTCTCAGTACGCATTTGAGAGTTGAAATTGCTTGAAAAATGAAAGATTTTCAATGTTTATGGGAATAGGGATGAGATTGCTTATAAATGGCTTTGTTTTCTTTTTTCTTCAATAGCAAATATAACCCTCTCCTGGAAAGCTGGAGGCAATTCATGTTGCTCCAAGGGAAAATTTTTCTCCCCCATCAATTTCTAACCTTTATTGTTTAAAAATATATGAATGAGGCCGGGCATGGTGGCTTGCGCCTGTAATCTCAGCACTTTGGGAGGCCGAGGCGGACAGATCACGAGGTCAGGAGATTGAGACCATCCTGGCTAACAGAGTGAAACCCAGTCTCTACTAAAAATACAAAAAATTAGACGGGTGTAGTGGCGGGCGCCTGTAGTCCCAGCTACTCGGGAGGCTGAGGCAGGAGAATGGCGTGAACCGGAAGGCGGAGCTTGCAGTGAGCTGAGATCGTGCCACTGCACTCCGGCCTGGGCCACAAGGCGAGACCCCATCTCAAAAAAAAAAAAAAAAAAAGTATAAATGATAGTTTATTTAAGTGATAGTTGGATACATCTGAGAAAAGTGGCTTTCCTTGAAGATTGACCTCAAACACTTCCAAAATTGAGATGGGGTCGAGGGGCTGGGGGTTAGCTCAGGGCTCCCAAACTGGGAGTGTGGGATAAGAGTGGGCATTAACTTCCAAAGTCAGAATGCTAGGGGAATCAGGAAAGAAACAAACAAAATCTTCCAAATAACTAAATTCTGGATCTATCCTAGTAGGAACTCATTGTGCTTATTAATTATTCTGTATAAAGCAGGCCTGGATTTTTCACTAGACAATACATTGTTTTAGGTATAGTATCAACAGTGAACAGTACAATTACAATGATGTCTTTTAGAATAGAGTGTTTTAATATCCAAATGTTCTTATTGGGAGTCTTTCTAAGGTCATACAAATGGATTTACATGCTTGATTAGGAACGATTCTTCTGGTACTGCAGCTAAGGGATGTGGGCTGTGCCGATCCCCCTCCCCCCAACTGCTGCTGAGATAATGCAAACAGCTTGGAGGCATTTCTACCCATAAAAGGAACAAGACCGTGCGCATGAGTTACAGTACATGAAGCAGAGACCTCCAGTTCTGAGCCCTATTTCTGGCACTCATGTATTCATATTGCTTATGCATGTGTGAAGGAACAAATAAAGATTAACTACATTCTTAGAGATGCAGTGTTGGGGAAAGAGGATGTCTTTGGTTTTATGATTTTGCTGTGCCTTGTGGCTAATTACACCTTATGTCATTCTACACTCCTGGCACATTTAATAAATTAAGTGATTTATTACTCATAAGAAACAATAACATTTCTTAGGTGCTTTCCAGCACACAAACACTTTCATGTGCATTATATAATTTGTGATTTCTTGGGAGTGTTTGGCTAGCAAAGGATTAGTTGCCTGGGGACCCCTGGAGCGCTATGTTATCAAGAAGACAGGTTATTTCCTAAATACCTGGTTTCAATGTAAAATTAAATATTGGAGAGAGATTGCAAGCTGTGGTAATAAATTTGCTCAACAAGCTATTTTTAGAGGCTCTCAGGATTGAGTGAAATTGGACTATGAAATGAGACTATAAAAACTTTTAAAGAGCTTTCATGGAAAAAAATTAAAACATGTTGACGTCATCTTTTAACGATGAGGTTGAACCCTAATCTGAAAAAGCAGAGTTTGTGTAGGGGTATTGGAGGACAATACTCGAGGAATATATTAATATATCTCCCTCCTTCTTGTACCACCAAGAGAGATGAACTCTTTGTATCTCTGTCTCTGGTTTTCTCTGTCTTTTCTTCCAGGGGTGTCCTTGAAATTCAAGGTTGGGATATTCACATTTAAAACATCCTTCCCAGCTCTGAACTAATGAGATAGGTATGAAAGTTAGCCTCTATGAATATTTCATAACTTTCCCATGAAACTCTGCAGATAATAATTACCTCCCGGTAAGAGAAACACTGATACAGGGGGATGAGAGAATGGAGTTTTGGGCAATACTCAACTTGTAGATCCTGAGATGATGGGAGAGTAGGGTAATTGTTAAACATGTCATGTGTAAATGTAAACTTGGATGAAGAGGAGAGAAAAGTGATCTGTAACACTAAGGAAGAGTCATCTGTCAAGGGTGGGGGTTCAACACAGAGAAGCTGGGTGGGGCCTTGGAGATAGAGGATAACAGGACCTCTTTCCTAGACCAATAGGTCCCACCAGAACCAATAGTCCAGATGGCTGACCACTGCTTCTCAACTCTACCCAGCAGTGTGGATAAAACTTGGAGAAAGTGCCTCCAAGATGGAGCATCTTCACATGCGACTTGCATCTATGAATTCTGTGAAAAACAAACTCAAGGTCCACTGATTTGGTCATGAGCCCAAACTCTGCTCTGACTCCTTCTTGTCCCTTGTCATTCATCAATGATAGGTGAGTTGAGAGCAGGAGGAGCTGTGTCCTTCCTTCCCTAGCTCCTTTGTGTTCTCCAGAAACACAGAGGTGAGGAGGGCAATAAATAAAATGCTTTTTAAAAAGTTGCATTCTTATGGGCAAGGACTTCATGTCTAAAACACCAAAAGCAATGGCAACAAAAGCCAAAATTAACAAATGGGATCTAAATAAACTAAAGAGCTTCTGCACAGCAAAAGAAACTACCATCAGAGTGAACAGGCAACCTACAGAATGGGAGAAAATTTTTGCAATCTACTCATCTGACAAAGGGCTAATATCCAGAATCTACAAAGAACTCAAACAAATTTACAGGAAAAAAACAAACAACCCCATCAAAAAGTAGGTGAAGGATATGAACAGACGCTTCTCAAAAGAAGACATTTACACAGCCAACAGACACATGAAAAAATGCTCATCATCACTGGCCATCAGAGAAATGCAAATCACAACCACAATGAGATACCATCTCACACCAGTTAGAATGGTGATCATTAAAAAGTCAGGAAACAACAGGTGCTGGAGAGGATGTGGAGAAATAGGAACACTTTTACACTGTTGGTGGGACTGTAAACTAGTTCAACCACTGTGGAAGACAGTGTGGCGATTCCTCAGGGATCTAGAACTAGAAATACCATTTGACCCAGCCATCCCATTACTGGGTATATACCCAAAGGATTGTAAATCATGCTGCTATAAAGACACACGCACACGTATGTTTATTGTGGCACTATTCACAATAGCAAAGACTTGGAACCAACCCAAATGTCCATCAATGATAGACTAGATTAAGAAAATGTGGTACATATACACCATGGAATACTATGCAGCCATAAATAAGGATGAGTTCATGTCCTTTGTAGGGACATGGATGAAGCTGGAAACCATCATTCTCAGCAAACTATCGCAAGGACAAAAAAACCAAACACCGCATGTTCTCACTCATAGGTGGGAATTGAACAATGAGAACGCTTGGACACAGGAAGGCGAACATCACACACCGGGGCCTGTTTTTGGGTGGGGGGAGGGGGGAGGGATAGCATTAGGAGATATACCTAATGTAAATGACAAGTTAATGGGTGCAGCACCCCATCATGGCACATGTATACATATGTAACAAACCTGCACGTTGTGCGCATGTACCCTAGAACTTAAAGTATTAAAAAAAAAATGTTGCATTCTTCTGCCTTTGTTCTCTTGACATTCAGATCCACCACAACACCAGGCTGCGCCCATTATGTAGTGAATCCACTCACACCGAAATCTTCTCAGAGCCTCTGAAGGGGGATGCCATGACTACTTTGGAAATTGCATGACAATGTCATATTCAAACTGTCTAGTTTAAATTTCTCATTTTGGAGTTTAAAATGAACTCCTTGGGCACATCCATGGGAGATGCGTAACACAGTTCTCATCACTGGGGAATCCGTTTTGTTTCTGACACTGGAAAAAGTGCTGTATCCTTTCATATATAATGCTGATTTTATTTCTAATGTCAGAGAATGCTATCACCATTCTCCAGTAATAGAATCATTCTCTAGAAATAGAATCAGCATTTATTACCAAGTACCTACTCTAAGCCCATGTGTGACAGGAAGAAAGAGGCTTGCCTTGTTAGAAGGAAGAGCCTGGCAGAGGGATTAGAAGCAGTTATATATATATACATATTTTGAGACAGAGTCTCACTCTTTTGCCCAAGCTCAGTTCAGTGGCTGGATCATGGCTCATTGCAGCCTCGATCTCCTGGGGTCAAGCAATCCTCCCACCTCAGCCTCCTAAGTAGCTAGGACCACAACCATGCACCACCACATCCGGTTCATTTAAAAATTTTTTTGTAGAGACGGGGTCTCCTCATGTTGCCCAGGCTGGTCTCGAACTCCTGGACTCACGCAATCTCTCTGCCTTCGACTCCCAAAGTGCTGGGATTACAGGTGTGAGCCACTGTGCCCAGCCCGAGCAGCTGTTTTAGAGGGCGTCTCTGTAGCTGAGAGACCATAGAGGAGAAGTAGGAAAGTTTGTGGGGTCTTACTGCCTCAAGAGACCAAACACAGTATAGATATTTAGAAATAGAACAGAGTGTCAGATTCTTTAGTAAAAAATTCCGTTTTGCTTTTTGAATTTCTGTATCATTAGCCATTGAAGGATAGTGTGTATGAGGGAGGAAGGAGTTTGGGAAGTCAAGTTAAAAGTGCAGTCTTTTGTATTCCAGGGAACACTTTGATCTTTTCTAAGAATATCCAGCTCCCTTAAGTTAGACATCAGTTAGAGTCTTGGAAATTACTTGAGGAACCGCATATAAAAACTTTTATGATGCCTACTCTGATGTAACAGAACAGGATTCCAGGCAGATCTTTCTTTCAAAAGCACATCTCCTGGCCAATGAGATGGAGCTGCCCAGCCAGGATTTCTGGGCACTGGGTAGTTCCTCGGCTTGTCTTCCTCCCTAGATTACATGGAATCTTCTTGTTTCTGAGACCTGAATTTTGTTTGGTTGGTTGGTTGTTGTTTTTTTTCTATTTAACGTAACCAACTAGATTTTTTTTTTTTTTAACTTTTAAGTTCAGGGATACATGTGCAGGTTTGTTACATAGGTAAATTTGTGTCATGGGGGTTTATTGTACAGATTTTTTTTTAATTACTCAGGTATTAAGAGACTTGATATTATAATGAGAAAAGAGCAGAAGTTTGGGGAATAATAGAGGAGGATCACTGTCTGCACCAAAGAGAGGATACTAATGAATCCTAGCAGAACAAAGAATGGGGATTAAAAAAACCTTGTCCTTGAAGAATCACAGAGAAAAATATTACTTAATTTTATCTTTCTGTAGATTTGATAGACATTGCTTGGGGATAGACTTGCATTATTTCTTCAGAATCTCTGATTAATTCACCGAAGAAGAAATATGCAGTCCTCCTTCATTCCCCTTGCATCGCAGCATAATTTTCATAACTGAATTTCTATGATTCTCATATATACCATTAAAATATTTTAAGTGTTTTTATTTCTTAATAAAAGATGAAATTTAAATAGTACTACGGTGAAATTTGGCTTATCAGGAGCTGCTCGTTAAGTTAATGTACTGCTGCCTTTCTCTTAGAGAGATGCGCATTCCCCTTCATGTAGAAATTCACCAGACAGAGATACTACAGAGGGGGAGGAAAAGAGACCTTTTTTTTTTTTTTTTGAGATGCAATCTCGCTCTGTCACCAGGCTGGAGTGCAGTGGTGCGATCTTGGCTCACTGCAACCTCCGCCTCCTGGGTTCAAGTGATTCTCGTGCCTCAGCCTCCCAAGTAGCTGGGACCACAGGCATGCGCCAGCACACACAGCTAAGTTTTGTATTTTTAGTAGAGACAGGGTTTCACCATGTTGACCAGGATGGTCTTGATCTCCTGACCTTGTGATCCTCCCGCCTTGGCCTCCCAAAGTGCTGGGATTATAGGTGTGAGCCACCACGCCCGGCCAGAAAAGAGAACTCTTAATGCACTTACCAAAGAAAGTTTAGAAGCCTTTAAAAAAGAAGTAGAAGGCAAAAAGACTAAATAAGAAAAAACAATTTTTCTTGATTAGTAGATTCTTGATTTTAACAACCATGAAATGAAAAAAAAAAGTGCATTAAATCCTCTGAAGTCACCATTATCAGATACTTTGTTTAAAGGTTGCTGGTCCCCATTTTCAAAGAAGTCGAAAAATGCTAACTTTTTTTTACTGAACAAATGGATCCTTCTGTGGGCTGACCCTTTTCACCCTCAAAATGCTCTGTGTGGTGCTCTTTTCTGGGCTCTGAGTTAATTGCAGGGTTTATGGGAATAACTAGATACTGGCTGTAAAATTGGAGCTAAGTGTCTGCCAATAAAATATAATTCTCTTCCTCATTTCACAGGGAACAAGCTTCTAAATTGCTCAAGAGATGGTGAAAGATAGGAAAGCTGAGGCAGTAAGGATATCACAAAGGAAAACTATGGTAAGTTTACTAGCTCCTTGTGACATTGAAGCGATATATCTATTTATCTATATCCCAACCCTCTTCTACTCTTCCTCTCCTACCATAAGTGCAGCACTCGGACATCAGTTAGAGTCTTGGAAATTACTTGAGGAACTACATATAAAAACTTTTATGATGACACAAAGCCATTTCTTCTGCTGTGTATACGACTATACTTAAGGCTAGTTGATGAAGTAGTAGGCTCCAAGATAACTTGTGGTCAACTGTAGTTGTCTCAGGGATTGTTTACAGCTTAGAGCCTAAGATTTCTTCCTGTGTCCAGAAAATCTGCTGAGTTCTAGATTACCCTGGTATAGAGTATCTTTTGTGAAACTGGAATTGGATCTGTAGCAGTTGGTGAGGTTGCTAAATAGGATGTTTGGCTGATGTGCACTACCCTTAAGAAGCTTTTAATGTGTTAACTGATAGGACGGGAATGAAGCAAAAGAATAACTTAAGATGAGGTGGAATATACTGCATACTAAATCTTAGTAAAACTAGACTATCTATTAAAATGATACCATATTCATTACTATAAAACACAGTGATCTATGGTAATCACAGGGACGAAAATGCATCCTTTAATACCAAAAACTGTTGAGCCAAGATTAAGTATGCTCTTCAAGTGCCATGACATACTTATATTTCCCAAACTTGCCTGGTCATAAGAAAAGCTTACTTGTTAAAAATGCAGATTTTTGGGTCCATAAAAGGGCTTCTAAACCAGACCCATTTAGAGACAGAGCTGTGAATATGAATGTCAATAAGCTTCATAGGCATTTCTAATTAGGTGCCATGTGGTCTCTTGAACTTATATGAAGATCCCACAATGATATTAATTCTTAGATCTAAAGAAATCCTGTCTTTTGAAAGCCTTAACATGATATTATAATGTAGATAAACCTGGGATAATTGAATGGAGATTTATTAAAATGCCAGAAGAGAAATGTAGTACTCTCATATTGGTGACTTCAGTTGTCTACATTTAATTAGTTTGATCTAAATTAACTTGCATACCCAGGGGAAAAAAGAAAAAGGGGAAAAAAGAAAAAGAGGTAATCTAAAAGAATATTTAGAGTTTACATCCTGTTAGGCCTGCAAGTAATCGTGTCGACAAGATATCTATTCCCACCAAAAAGTGCAAGAGTGACTGTGTGCTTGCTGTAGATTTGAAATGCAAGTCATTTGTGATTGACTTGCAGTGAATACATGAAAAGCTGTCCATTAAAAAAGCGGGAAAGTTTTCTCCCATTTTGTAGGTTGCCTGTTCACTCTGATGGTAGTTTCTTTTGCTGTGCAGAAGCTCTTTAGTTTAATTAGATCCCATTTGTCAATTTTGTCTTTTGTTGGCATTGCTTTTGGTGTTTTAGACATGAAGTCCTTGCCCATGCCTGTGTCCTGAATGGTAATGCCTAGGTTTTCTTCTAGGGTTTTTATGGTTTTAGGTCTAACGTTTAAGTCTTTAATCCATCTTGAATTGATTTTTGTATAAGGTGTAAGGAAGAGATCCAGTTTCAGCTTTCTACATATGGCTAGCCAGTTTTCCCAGCACCATTTATTAAATAGGGAATCCTTTCCCCATTGCTTGTTTTTCTCAGGTTTATGTCCTTTGTAGGGACATGGATGAAATTGGAAATCATCATTCTCAGTAAACTATCGCAAGAACAAAAAACCAAACACCACATATTCTCACTCATAGGTGGGAATTGAACAATGAGATCACATGGACACAGGAAGGGGAACATCACACTCTGGGGACTGTTGTGGGGTGGGGGGAGCGGGGAGGGATAGCATTGGGAGATATACCTAATGCTAGATGACGAGTTAGTGGGTGCAGCGCACCAGCATGGCACATGTATACGTATGTAACTAACCTGCACAATGTGCACATGTACCCTAAAACTTAAAGTATAATAATAAAAAAAAAAAGAAAAAAAGAAAAAAAAAGCGGGAAAGAATAGGTCAAGTAGCTATGGGGGAGTGAGAAGGATCTGGGTGTATCATCTGAGGATGACAGGGATGAGAATTTTCTAGGTCTTGAAATACATGAAGAGTAATTATTCTGAGGATAATAATGAGGTGTTCTTCATCTTTGCTCAGCTTGAGGGAAAGAAAATGGCTCTAACCAGCCTGACAGATTTAGTTTATCCAAAAGAAAGAACATGATATGGAGACTTATTAAGAGGCTAAATGAATGAAATGAATAGAGTAGGATCTTTACAGCAAAGTTTATGCCTAATATTGACACTGAAGATGTAGCATCAACTCTTTGTCTCTTTTGAAAAGTTTGGTTAAAAGTGTGTTTACTATGGAAAACTCTTAAGGCTCTTATTTACCAGCTTGAATTATTGCAAATGTCATTTGAAATTCATTTTAGTTTAGAAAAAAAAGCATTTAGTGCTTCCAGTGCAAGCTAATTCAATATGAGCAGAGAGGAGGACTCCTGAGGAGAGAGAGCATAGCCTTGTTTTCCTCCTAATAATTCTTACTTTGACAAGTATAAAGGGCCCCATTATTAATGAATGTGAACATAGTCATTGCATCTCTTGCAAGCATACCAGTTGAAAATTGGTGTACTTTCTAAGAGATGAACAGTTACATTTTATGAACATTCTTCATAATTCTTAGGAGGTTTGTACCTGGCATATATTAAGGAGACTACTTGCTGATTATTTTTCCTCTTAATTAATCTCATTATTTGAAAAAATGTATGCAGCACATACTTCAAGTAATTAAGTTTTTCCCTTTGCCTCTAGGATATAGCATCAGAATATAACAGAGGTAGAACAGAAATCCTCAATATAATTAGGAAAACAACTTTATGCCTAGCTAAATCACTCAGAACTCATAAGCTTAAAATTTGACTGGAAGCAAAACCTTTTGGTGTTTTCTTTTCCAGAGAAAACAATTTTTTTACAAGTTTTAAATAAGGTCAATATAATCTATTTTAATGTATGCTCATGGTGCTTACAATATATCCTTTCAGCATGTGGGAGGATAAAATAATTTCAACATAGAAAATTATCCTGAGCGTCCACATAGGATGCTAACTTCAGTGTAGTGCACTGGTTAAGACTGAGACTCTTGGATGTCATTCATTCATTCATTCAACAAACAGTTCCGGGTGGCTATTATGTTGTAGGCTCATTCCCAGGTATGGAGGACATAAAAGTAAACAAGACAGAAAGGGCCCTGCCTTCAGGAATTATATATTCTAGGGGGAGACAAGCCATGGAAAATTAAATAAACAAAGAAAATTATAATGACAGAGAAGGTAAATAAGTTTTGAAAGGGGGACCAACTTAATCAGAGTGGGCCCCCTTTGTGGAGCTGATAGATTTGAATCCCAATTCTGCCATTTCTTTGCTGAGTGATGTTGGACATGTCACTTCTCTGAGCTTCGGTTTTCTTGTCTGTGGAATGAGGATACTTACTACCTAGAGAAAATGTGAAGCTCAAGCAAGATAACAAAGGCAACACAGGGCTGGACACACAGTAAATACTCAGCTACTTAATGTTAGCTAATTAAGTAACTTGCTGCAAAAAGATCAGGAATCATTTTGTTCACTGTGGTGCATTCTGCTCAGGCCATGCAGAGTGTTGTTTTTCTCTTGTTGGCAATCTGGATTCAGTTGATTTACCAGTTTGTATTAAAACAGCTGGAGAGACTAAAGGAAGGCTTGGTACCCGTTTAGTAAGAGTGATTGTAAACTGGCTGTCCAGATAAGGGTGGCTGAGTTCTGGTTACAAAAGATCTGTCTCTCCCCAGATTTATGCATCTTTCTTTCAGGAAGACCTAAGTAGAGGTCTTTTTGGACTCAGAGAACTTGTACTGTAAGAGGTTTTCTGTTTTTGTTTTCTTTCCTTTTCCCCAAATGTTAGGTCAAAGCATGAAGAAGAACAGAAGGATTTGCAGAGGGGAAACAGATGTTTACTGTTCATTTCATAATCACAAGGCTGGATGAATGTGGAACAACAAATCATAGCTTCCAAAACACAACTGCATCAAAACCACCCCAAAGATCCCAGGCTCTTTCCTGTTTTTTTAAGATTCCTTTGTTTCTTCCCATGAGGGCAGGTGCTCTCTAATTTCCCTCAGTGACCCCTCTGAAGGTCTTAGAGTCATGTTGATTATTTTTTTCATTTGCGGAGTGATTCACCCATATGTAGCTTTGCAGATTATGCCCAAGCTCAAGGCTTTTCCCCCAGCAGCTGGTACTTGGCTACCCATGGCTGCCCTTGGGTAAGTAAGGTTAGTCTCCTTACTGCTACGCATCAGAATTCCCACTTGCCTCTAGTCTGACTCCCTGAGGCTTCTCCTCCCACCCTGCACCAGCCCTCTCCCAATTCTTTCTGTTCTTAGCCTTCTGTATTCTCCTTCTTCCAGGAGCTCTCTATGCCCCCACCGCAGGTACAGATCTTTTTTGAGAACACTCTGTTTCCTCACTTAGGAGTTTGCTAGCCGTTTCCAAGAGGCACTAAAGGCCTTTTCTGTTTGATACGATCTGCTGGAAACTCCCAAGTCAAGAAATTTTACATGCATATCTGTTTTTAAATTGCTTTTTACTGATGGATGGTTGACTATAGAATTGCTCCTTTTGGCTTGATTCATAGGCACCATTACAGCATAAAGAAGGGTTTTCTGAACCTACTAAGTCACATTAGCTGAAACTATATACATTTGTGATATCTAAATGGGTTTGAACTCTAAAACAGCAGTGTCACAAGTTCTACCTAATTAGAAATTTCTATGAAGCTTATTGACATTCATATTCACAGCTCTGTCTCTAAATGGGTCTGGTGTAGAAGCCCTTACATGGACCCAAGAATCTGCATTTTTAACAAGTAAGCTTTTCTTATGGCCAGGCAAGTCTGGGAAATATAGGTATGTCATATGTAGTGGAATAAATAGGGAGTTAAACATGGTGCTAAGGCAGTTGATATGTTTATCTGTGCGTATTGTATTTGGTATAAGCAATTTCAACTTAATGACTGTGGTGAAGATGACTAAGTGTCTATTAAAGTCTGTTTGTCCCTTCTTTGGGCACATCGCTGGCCTTCCTTGTGATAATGTGTGGCCTACAGTTTAAGTTCTCTCCAGTGAAATGTGAACAGAAGTGATGCATGCCACCTGTCAGCCTGGCCCATACCACCACTCCCTACCCTTACTCCTCCATAGTCTTTCATCTTCTAGTGTCTAGATACAGAGCACCACAAAGCCCTAGATGATGGCAGGGTACCAAGATGGAAAAAAGTAGATCCCTGAATGACTACATGGAACAGAACTATCTCACCAACCTGAAGACCTGCCAAGGTCTCTTATATGACCAAAAGCAGGATTCTACCCAGCAATCCTATTACTGGGTATATATCCAAAAGAAAATATATCATTATGCCAAAAAGACACATGAACTTACATGTTCATTGCAGTATTATTCACAATGGCAAAGACATGGAATCAACATAGGTGCCCATCAATGGTGGATTGGATAAAGAAAATGTGGTACATATACAACACAGAATCCTATGTAGCCATTAAAAAGAATGAAATCATGTCTTTTGCAGCAACATGGATGCAGCTGGAGGCCATTATCCTAAGCAAAGTAACATAGAAACAGAAAACCAAATACTACGTTAGTTCTCACTTATAAGTGGGAGGTAGACACTGGGTACACATGGACAGGAAGATGGCAACAATAGATACTGAGGACCACTAGTTGGGAAGGGAAGGAAGAGGGCAAGGGTCAAAAAACTAACTATTGGGTATTGTACTCACCACCTGGGTGACAAGATCATTCATATCCTAAATGTCAGCATCATGCAATATACCCAGATAACAAACCTGCACATGTACCCTCTAAATCTAAAATACATGTTGCAATTATGTAAGAAAATAGGATTCTAATAGTTTGAACCCTTATATATTTTAGCCTATCTGTTACAGCATCTTAGCTTACATAGTAGTATGGTGCCATCATTACAAAAACCTAAAAATACATGTGCTGTTGGCTTAGCTGTTAGGTGGCAGATGGTGACAAAACAGAGCAGGTTGGAAAGATGATCTGTGTTATACTGTGGCAAAACATTTTGTAAAACTATTGTTTGTGAAACCTGGAAGGTAAAGCTACTTCCCACTGAGTCCATAGCACTCTATGAAGAGACCGGAAAATGACAGAATGTTAGTATGTATTAATTGTTATTTTACATATTTAGCAAGGTGTTATAAGAAAGGGAAGAGATGAATTGGTTGTTTTTAAAGCTGAGATTGATAGAACACAGATTTTCATGGGTTCAAAGAGTTAGAAAATGATTGTTTCTGGATTCCATTAATAGATGATACTATCAGGATTGTCATCAGAATTCTATTATTGCAATGTGTCTCCCATTCTTCCCTTTCTGAAAGGGAGTTTGAATGTTTTGATTATCCCATTCCTGTCCCACCACCGCATGGGGCAAATTGTGTATATGGGTAGATAATTTGTCTTTTATTGGATCACAAGGAATCACGTTTAGATCAAATGAACAGAATCATGCATCACTTAACAGATGCTGGTCTTTGACACAGTTGCAGTGCCAGAATGCAACTCTAGGTGGTCCTTCTGGGGAAAAGAGTGAGTTTTTTTTACATGTGGGAAAAAATGTGCAAGGATATTTGGTGGCCACAGAGTCTGATGCAGGCAGAGATTGCTAGCTTCCATCAAAATCCATTCTTCCCTCTTTTGGGCACAGAGGGGGGCTTTCCCTCCAGCCTCCTTTACAGTGAGGCATGGCCTTGTGACTAAATAAACTCCTATGCAGTGTGATTGAAAACGATGTTTGTCACTTCCAGGCCTGGCCCATAAAACTTTCCATTCAAGTTTCTCCATGCTGTTTCTCATTCAGCTGTGTGGATGCAGATAACTGAAATCCTAGGGGATGTCAGAGTTACCAGATGTGAGAAGCCTGAGACATTAAATGACCACATGGAAGAAAGCAGCCCTACTGACTTGAATACCTGCTCAGGAGCATCACATGAGCAAGGAATACCTTGCCATTGAGTTAATCCCTTACATGTTTGGTTTACTTGTTAATAGCAGGTCCTAACTAACAGTGGCTCTTTTATTGTTATTAGCTATACACTGCTCATATTGTTTACTATTCCATGGCCTCCACTTACCCCATTACAAGCAGTTTAGCCTTGAGGGAAATAGAGTAGTATCTTTGTGCCGGGAATTGTTCATCAGGAAAGTTGAGAAAATGATAGCACCTTATGATAAAGAAGGGTTGGCTTTTTGGTACAAGGTACAAAAATACAGTTAGATGGAATAAAATCTAGTATTCAGTAGCACAACAGAGTGACTATAGTTAACAATAATTTATTGTATATTTCAAAAGAACTAGAAGAGTAGATTTAGAATGTTCCCAACACAAAGTAATGATGGATGTTTGAGGTTATGGATATACCATTTACCCAGATTTAATCATTACCCATTATATGCCTATATCAAAACATCACATATACTCTATAAGTAAATAAGAACAACCATTAATGTATCCATAATTTTTTTTTAGAGATGAAGTCTTGCTCTGTTGCCCAGGTTGGAGTGCAGTCGCATGATCATGGCTCATTATAACTTTGAACTTCTAGGCTCAAGGGATCCTTGTGCGTTGGCTTCCCAAAGCACTGGGATTACAGATATGAGAGACTCTCGGGTGTCTTCAGAAAGAGCAAAAGAGAAACTTATGAATAAATTTTCCCAAATGAGCAGAACTATGTCACAACCTTTTATAAACCTGGGACTTTATTTTTATTCACTATTTATTATAATTATGTTATTTTTTCCCCCTGTGGATTGGACCTGTTTCCCACTCCCTGCTCTGGCCATTAAGGTTATGACTGTCTACCTTGGGCTGATCACCATTTAACTAAGTGGAAAAAGTTAGAACTGACTTTCAGCTTTCTGTAAAAACAACTTCCTTTTACATCTCAATCAGCTGATAGAGTAACTGGATTTCTCTTCTTTCCATGAATTGTGTTAATTTCCTGCATAGGCAGCCTGGGTTTGCAAATAGTGGCTTCATGTGGTTTTCCAAATTTGATGGCTTTCAACAAAGAAGCTCTAGGAGGGTGGGTGATAGAAGAAAGATTCACAGACAAAATAATACAGAGGATGGTGGAAATGGTGAACATCGTAAAGAGGTTTCAGCTGGAATGAGCTTATTTTACACACCTATGTACCCCGACATATAAACCATGTACACAATCTAACTCAACATACAATCTAAATTCAAAATGGAGCTCTTATCCTTATGCTATATGTCAAGTGAAACATTAATCGGTAAGAATATTTTACCAGTGAGGGGTCTGCTACAAAACTCAAAACTAAAGATAGGATGGGGGAAGAAATGCAATTCTTCCATGGTAAGCTGTGAAAGCTCTAAAGGTTGTTGGGACGCGTTGAGTCATCCCTGGAAGGGAGTAAGGAGCAGAGCCCAGGGTTGTTTCTTAGGCACACTTGTAATAAACAAGAGTGACTTTTCCCACCTTCATCCCACTGCTCCTACCCTTTAGACCTAGCCGTCAGCCGAACTTAGGGTTACTCTGAAATATGCTCTGTATATTAGAACTAGAGGAGTTTGAGTGAGGCACCCAAAATGTATGTCAGCTTTTGAACATAATGTAGATGAAGGAATCCCAAGTGATATTTACACATTATATAGTTAAGCTATTCAGTAGATGTGACACTGGCCACTTAGGTCAAGAAAATTCAATGCTGGCTGGGCGTGGTGGTTCACGCCTGTAATCCCAGCACTTTGGGAGGCTGAGGTGGGCAGATCACGAGGTCAAGAGATCAAGACCATCCTGGCCAACATGGTGAAACCCCGTCTTTACTAAAAATAGAAAAAAATTAGCTGGGCGTGGTGGCACGTGCCTATTGTCCCAGCTACTTGGGAGGCTAAGGCAGGAGAATCGCTTGAATCTGGGAGGCAGAGGTTACAGTGAGCTGAGATTGTGCCACTGCACTCTAGCCTGGTGACAGAGTGAGACTCTGTCTCAAGAAAAAAAAAAAAAGAAAAAAAAGGAAAAAAAAAGAAAATTCAATGCTATATTACAGTTACAGTGGGGATAAAATGATTATTTAAAATATGAATAAAATAGTTCAGAAATATAATAAATATAATAAACATTTTTGTATGTTCATTCCTAAACAGATATCTATTGGACAAGCAATTTGTTCATTTATTCATCAAAGTTTTAATGGACCAGAAACTATCTAAGTGTTGGAAGGACTAAGATTGCAAAGACATAGTAATTCATTTATTCAGTTGAGAATAATCTGAGTTGAGAGTCTGTTGAGTGTCTATAATATGCAGGACTTTGTTTTTTGAAGCTGGAGATAGCAAATACATATATAATATCAGGTAGTATTAACTATTATAATGAAAGATGTGGCAAGATAGGTTAAAGAGAGAAAGAGAGTGTGTGTGTGTGCAAGCACACATGCATTAAATAATGTGGTCAATTGAAGCTAGGGGGGATCTAGCGGAATAGTATGAGACTGGGGAAAAAGCAAGTACAAACTCTTCAAGGGAAGGAGTTGGGTGTGCTTGAGGAATAACAAGATGGTGAGTGTGGCTAAAGCAAAAACACTGATGAGGAGAGTGTTAAGAGATGAGATTGGAGAGATAACAGGGACTGAGTCATGGAGTGCATCATATACAACATAATATAGGGTTGGGTCTGAGTGTTAAGGGAAGTGATTGGAGAAGTTGGGGTTTGGGACAGTCCCTCTGCCAGCTATGTGGAGAATTGATGATAGGGGGCAAGATTGGAAGTAGGGAATTGGGAATTGATTATAGTAGTTTGGATGAGAGATGATGGTGGCTTGGACAAGAATGAAGGCAATGAAGACGGTGATAAGTGATCAGGTTTGGGATGTATTTTGAATGTTGAGCTGATTGGTAGGAGGAAGGGATGATAACTAATGGTTTAAATGGAAAGGGAGGGGAATGTTGTCAAAGGAAGAAAGGAGTCAATACCAAAGTTTTTGTTTTCAGAAACCGGGTGGAAAAGAGTGGTCATGTACATACATGGGGAAGCCTAGGGGAAGAGTAGCTTGGGGAAGTTAAAAAATTCAGTTTGGACAGGTTAAGAATGAGATGCCTATTAGATATTCAAATAGTCGGATATATGAATCTGAGTCTCAGAGGGTTTTGATGATGGAGCTACAAGTTTTGCCGTTATCAGGATATGAATGATGTTTAAAGTTACAAAACTAGATACAATCAAGCATACCCTAAGTGTAAATAAAGAAGAGGACCCAGGGACTGAACACTGAGGTTTCAGTGTTTCCGAACATTTGGTGGTTGGGAAGACAGAGGGGAGGTGGCATTGGAGATGGAGAAAGATTTGCTGTTGAGTGGAAACAAAACCAGGAGAATGTGGCATCCCAGAAACCAAGCCAAGAAAATGTTTTAGGAAGGAGGGTAATGAACCATAAAAAAAGCTTCCAAGAGATCAAGAGGAGGACCTAGAATTGACTGTTGGATTTCACAGGACATGAAAGACACAGCTCCTTTCCCTTAAGGGGTTCCCAGCACAGCAGAGATGGGAAAATAAGGAAGCATATAAATTGTTATACAATAGTGGAAGATCCTAGAGATGTAAACAAATTTGTGAAACTGGATTGGAGATGGAACAGGGAATTATTCTTGGGGAGTCAAGGAAAGCTACATGGAGCAGATGTGCTTTTGGATTTTGGTAGGTAGGAGGTAGGGATACATCAGAATTCGTAGAACTTTAAAAATTGTTTTTTGTAGCTGGTCGTTGATTTTTCCTGCAAAAATAAACTCATTCAAAATAATTTTGCGTAGTTTTTACTCATGCAAAACTGATATTTCCCCTCCCAATTTAATATCCTATTACTATTACCTCATATAAACATATTGTTAATTATCAGTAAACATGGTAACTATTTTATGAAGAAAATACATACACTCCATCCTACCTTACTCTTCTAAAGGATACTCTTGTAATTACATTTTTCCTTCTTGTAGTCTTTATCTTTTAATTACATTTTCATTCCTTTTCCTGGCTGTATGCAAGTATCGAGACTGTATTCTTAATAGCTACCATGTACCTAACTCTTATCACACATGAGGCACTGTTCTAAGAACTTTACATATGTTAATCACTTTGTTCTCACACACAATTCTAATACCTTAATTGTCCCTGCTTCTCATTTGTGATAACTGAGGCACAGAGAGGTTAAGTAACTTGCTCAAGGCCACAAAGTAAATGACAGAGCCAGTATTAGAACCGGGCTGTCTGACTTCAGAGATCACCATCTTGCACAGTAGGTTGTATTTCCATCCTTACTATTTTATCTCTACTTTTCTGGGTTGGGCAGTTATTAGTAAAAAGTCTTCAATGGATAGGCTCTCTATGACTTAAATTATAGCTTCTAAAGTCTCAGCACTCAACTGCAGGTTGTCATTTTAAAGTAGGCCAGTAGGACCCAGGAATTAGATACTGGATCCAAATGGAGAAGAGGGCATTTAGTTTTTTACAATTGATTGTAGATTCTCACGTGACTGCCTAAGGATTTATGTTCAACCAGGTCATATACCAGGAGAGTGGTGGTAAAAGGAACTCAAGTCTTTGTGGTGGAGAAGATCCCTCTGCTTATAGAAATGACCACTTCTGGTTGGGCGCGGTGGCTCACGCCTGTAATCCCAGCACGTTAGGAGGCTGAGGCAGGCAGAACACGAGGTAAGGAGTTCAAGACCAGCCTGGCCAGCATGGTGAAACCCTGTCTCTACTAAAAATACAAAAATTAGCCAGGCATGGTTGCGTGCGCCTGTAGTCCCAGCTACTCAGGAGGCTGAGGCAGGAGAATCGCTTGAACCCAGGAGGTGGAAGTTGCAGTGAGCCGAGATCATGCCACTGCACTCCAGCCTGGGCGACAGAGCAAGACTCTGTCTCAAAAAAAAAAAAAAGAAAAGAAAAGAAAAGAAATGACCACTTCATTACAGTCCTAGATGTATGTGGTTCATGTCTCCATCCTCTTTTTAACCTTACTGAAACCACATGAGACGATTATATACTTAAAGAGGTACAAAGTGTACATCAAAGTAACCATGTTTAGGAATGCTTACTATGTGCAAAGTATTGCTCTGAGTATAGTGGCTGTGATTTCTTGGGAGCTAAAATAATAGACTAGCCGAAATCTTTAAGATGCTTTAATGCTCAACAATAGTAAGTATGTACATTATTAAAACATAAAATTATTGGAGCCTAGTGGAATCTAGTTGTGGTTCAGCCTTTGTTTGATTTCTAGTGTAGATTTTTTATAGGCTGACTTGATTCTCTTTTTTCCTGATACCATACTGTAACTGGCTTCCTGAATACATGGGGATTTGGATACATAAGTTTCATAGGCATTTGAAGCCTCTCCCTTTAGGTTTTCAGTTCCGCCTTTGATTTAAAAGTTTTTGAAATAAGGTAGCCACTTTCCCTTTCTTGGCAGAAAGAAGGTGTAGAGTAAATAACTTTTGCTAAGATGGTTTCAGGAGAAGAATCTGAGGAACTTTCTCAAGGCGCAGACCCCCAAATTTTATAATTAGTTTTTTTCTCAAGATGAAAGTCAACCTGTTCTTCTCTTTATTCTGTTCTCATTAAAATGTTCTTCTCTGGGCATAGTCATTATATTTTCAGAAAGGCTTAAGTGAGCCAGCATTAAAATTTGCTCTTAATTTCTACAAATATAGAAAAACCTGCTGGGAAATGGATACTGTATTCACTGTGGTTCTCTCCCTGTCTGCTGTGTAACATTTTCATACATCATGTAAGTGTAGGGGGAAGCAGTGACTTAGGTGATGGCTTAGTTCTGGAAAAGAAGCTACTTTCTATAGAAGGAGGATTTCAAATGGCCACATTGCCAAGCAGACACTCATGCTGGTTTCCTGTGGGCCATTTCCCCTTTGTTGAACCTGACCCAAAGCCAAAATGAAGGAGGAGAAATTTTCCATTCACAAGGTCTCAGATCTCTGATAAAGATCACTATGATAAAAAAGTTATAAAATGTAGGCTACCATAAGCTTGAAGAATTTCATTAACTTGCTTTTGATAAACTTAATAAAATTTGTTTTGGAAATTAACAGAAAAAGAAAGAATCAAAATGGAAGAATTTAGATAATGCTATCACCCAGACAAGTACACCTACAAACTTTAGAACACTCGCAAAACAAAAGGTCCCCTGTAAGTTGTGACTACAATGTCTTAACTGCCATGCTTTAAAATATTTTATGTGCATTTTGTCCTCTCAGGACATACTTTAAAGTGATTCAGATTTTATTTGTATTTTTCCTTTTAAAAACATGTTAATTAAATATTTTTCTTTTAAGATACAGATTGCCTAATAGATATTTAAAACCTTTTAAAAACTCTCCCCCAATCTACAACCTCAGGAAAACAAAACTATAGTATTATAGCACCAATTGTTATAGAAAAAATGAGTGTTTTATTAATCTTAGCATTTTCATTTATAAATGGCATGAGGTGAATACGCAAAGAGCGGCAAGAACAATCCTTTCACCATTTGTGTGTCTAGTGGTGATTCTTTTTTTTTGGCAGAAAAGAATTGTGATGCAATTCCACTGCATTTAAAAATGTTCACAGTAAAACTTTAATGAATGTTGAGGCAAATGTTGAGTAAAAGCTCTGGCCCCCAAATCTAGAGGGCACGTCAGAGTATTTTCCTGGCGTTGCCATTCGTTTTACGGGGGAAAAGTGTTACCATACACATTGATGCACAAATTGTTCTACCAACAGTCAAGTCCTGGGTTGTATGCTACGCTAAGCTCCCTGGTTACTGCCAGGCCCGCACCCAATACTGACATTAGAAATGAGCCAGGCCCCTCTGAACTTAGGGTCTCGCCCCCTGCATCGTTTGTCTGGATGCAGAGAGTTTCCCACTTTTTCTTACCTGCATAGTGGTCAAACACAGTGGGCACGTATTCCTCTGGGAAGGCGTCGTTGGCGTAGCTCATCAGCAGGCAGGTTTTCCCCACGGCACCGTCCCCCACCACCACACACTTCAACATCTTCTTCTCGTCGTTGCCCCTGCAGCCGCAGCTGCTGTCAGTTCCCTCTTTGCAGTTCATTCTTGCGGCTCCAGCTGCTGGGGACTCCTGCTGCTATTGCTTCTCCTGCTTTTTCCAAAGCACATGAAGCGGCAGAAAGCCAGTGCCAGGCTTGAGTTTACTCTGTCTGACTTTGGGTACCTTGGATCATACAGACATGTCCGAGGCTGGGATATGTCCTGTTGCTTACCATGCTGGTAAAGAAAGGTAACACACACTTGAGGGAGTTATGAAAAGGGTCTGCCCCTTTCCGCTCTCAGTGTGAGTTAAGAAACCCTCATTTTCACAGAATTCGAGGGGCTTCCTAACAGCCTAGAAATTTCAGCAGCCTGAGGGTTTTACTCTGCTCTCCCTGTCTCTAGCCTGGCAAAAGATACGGTGGAATTTTGCTAAATCTTTCTCATTTTCCAAGTCACATCTAACATGGAGGAAAGCTGGGCTTTTTAATGGAGTTTTTTTCCCTTTGCTTCCTCCAGCTTGCCGAGTGTCAGGAAATCATGGGTTTCCTGCTGAATTCCATATTAGGATCAGTGGGCTGAGGAAGGCTGCAACAATGGGAGCTCTGTGTGTGTGTGTTTGTACTTCTGGGGAACGATGCCAGGACATGGAGTGGGAAAACACTAGGGGTCCCACTGCAGACTCAAGCTGTCAGACTTCCTGTTTCATCCGCTGCTTGCGAGCCTGTTCGCTTGTGGCTGGCTGGGAAGAAGCTGACTAGAGGATGGAAAGCGGGGATTACTGCCTGCCACAGAAGCAGGGGGAATGGTTAGAGCGAGCAGAGAGAACCACACCGGCAGTCCTGGGATAACATATGACATCACTCTTCACTGAGTCACTAGTTAAAAGCTCTGCAAACTAAAAACGAGCAGTTCTTTACTTAAATGAGAAACTTTAAGCGATTCTTCCCAGAAATAAAGAAGAAAACCTTCCAGAGTCACATCATTTCAAAGAGAAAAAGTTTTGTAAGTTGTAGGTATAATATGTATGATCAGGTTTATAAACTGCCACATGTCTGGAATATGTATTCCAGACACAAACTTTTTTTATGATGGTAGCACATAAGAAATCAATCACATGTGGGATGTTTGCATTCTCTTATTAGTAGATAAACACACATGTGCTTGGCTCATACTTAACACCCTTGGACAGGAGAGGGTATAGGATGGCTTTTTGGTTTGTTTAAGGCCCTCGATGCTGTTTTTACTTGGATGTTTTGCTTTTTGATTTAGTCTTCTCCCCTTGGGTCAGACGGGTCCTCTTCAATTACAAAGGAGCCATGGGCAGCTAATTTATTTGTCTGTTTGGTCACTCAAAATGAAGTCCCTTTGAAGCTCTGTATTTGATTAATGTGCTTGGTCTTAGAAAAGAAGTGGAACTCTGCAAATGATTTTTGACAAATGGGTCAAAATGACGGAACTCTGTTTTTTTCACTTTCATTTTTTGAACATTGATTTTGAAGAGTTCAGATTATCCAAATGTTTGAGAATTTTTTTTTTTTGATGAGGGGTGAGATGGGAGAAAAGTCTGTAATAGATATACCCACATATCATCTATATGCTGCCATATAATAGGTATAGTCTCTAGTTTCTTCTGTTTTGGATTATAGTAACATTTATCACAGTGCTTAGTGTCCAAGCCTTTCTTTCCTATAAAGGGATGGTGTTTCAGTCAAGTTATGGTGTATCAGTCAGGTTCTGTTGCAGTAAGAAACAATCCCTGAAGCTAAATGAGTATATTTATTGCTCACATTGTATCTCTATTGTATATTGTTATCATCTTTATTCAGGGATCTAGGCCGATAGAGCAGTCATATTGAGAATATTGATGATCATCATGGTAGAGGAAGAAATGAATATGACGAAGAGGTACTACCCCCGTGCCAAATTGAATATTTATGGAGAAAAAATTTTGAGACATCCTATTGACTCTTAAGGCTTCCTCCTGGAAGTGACACTTGTGCTTATATTTGTTGGTCAAAGCAAATGACATGCTGGGTTCAACAGGGGGGTCAGAAGTATAATCCTACCATGTATCAGAAAGGAGAGGACCAAATATTGGTGAACAGCCTGTGTGGCAACCACAGATCATTTAGCTGAGGTTTTATTTGCAATATGGAAGTTGAATTGTTTATGTTTAGTGCCATTCTGAAGCATTTGAAGACACCTATGACTTCATGTGATTTATATAATTTTATTCTCATTTAGCCTACCTTGAACACCTAGAATATGTGATAACAAAATTACTATGTGAAAACTTATATTTTGCTTCTAGAAAAGAGGCTTGAGTATGAAGGTGGCAGCCAAACAAATCTGTGCAGATAAAAGAGTGATTGGCAGTGACAAGACTTCATCCTGAAGATGAGCACAATCACGCTGAGCCTAATGAGCACAGTGATGATATGTATTTGGCAGAATGTTGAGAAGGTTCTTCCTTTGACTTTGTCCCTGAGATTGGGCAGTGAATGTGGCATGGTACTCCATTCATGGAGTTATAAAACATGCCCGTCTACCCTGGTCAACTAAAAGCTTTTATCCCAACACTACAACATGCCCCAGCCCAGTGAGTACTTGGTCTAGGAAAAAATTGAGAAATTGGATTGAGGTGAAATTTTGCTATATCTACTTATAGCCTAAATCTTATGCCATCAGACACAGACATTTAAATCCATTCTGATTTCTATGTGAACTGTGAATTAAGACATCTGGGAGACTTGAAGTATCTAGTTATAGATCCTTTACCTCTAACTGAAAGGATTGGTACATCTGCCAGATTGGGTTATATGCAAAGATGGGTTATGACCATTGAGAATGTTGGCTATATTTCTCAAAACAAACATGGTTTATCACTATTTACTACACCCACACCAAAATGAATATTTATGGAGAAAAGATTTTGAGACATCCTATTAAAAGTGGCAAAAAAGTTAAAATTCTTAACATCTCAGCCTGGTGATTATGTGGATCATGTTGTCCATGTGAAACTAAATCTTTTTAAATATTAAAAATTGGATCTGAACCAGAATAACAGAATCTTGAAAAAAAATAAAGACAATTCATCATTGTTTTTATAGGTCCATGAGTCCACAGAATTCTGATTGCTTGCCCAGGTAGCATGGTCAATAATGTCCATCAATTCCAAAGGTTGACAGGTATGCATTTAGAAGTGGCATGAAGACCATTTGCTAAAATATTCTTTACCAGATGCCTGTGCTTTTGGATCTTGGGCCATGAAAATGATTGAGTGGTGGTTGTGTAGCCATTAATTATTTGGTTTACTTCAAGCACCAAGTTTACACAAACTTACCAGAATGTGGTGAAATCTTTTTGGGTGATATTTTCTGCTTTTTCCAAGAGACCTTAATTCCTTAGCTCTTTCTTGTCCTCTGAGATTTGGCTTCACACAAATTTCCCCAAATGCCAACAGGGCATTTTTGTGTAAAATTCTGACTGTTCTTATTTCTTTCAGTTTTATTATGACCTTAGTAAGAGAGCCAAGTCTTCACTCCCCTCTTTTTTTTTTTTTTTTTTTTTTGTGCTTGAAGCTAGAAGTTACATAGGGAAGTAATGCAATGAGATCAGATACTCTGATTCTGGATTAGCCTCTATGGAGGATATTGTTTTGACTTCAGTCTTAGGAACATGAGATGTGCTGTGATTCTGATAATTCCAGGATGCCCTGCCTCGTCATGAGTTTCCACTCCAGAGAAAGCCCTTTCTGGGACTAATGTGAGAGTCTGGCCTTTACTGGTGATGGTTATGAATCAGGAGGGGCTATGTAGTTCTAGGGGTTCTGACCTAAATCTCCCACTGACCTAAACCTCAAGATCAGTAGGGGCACTGCTAAAACTGGACAGGCCATCCTAGGACTAGTCTGGACTGGAACCACCCCTCCCCAAGGGGAGTGAGTCATTGCTGTCAGGGATGCTCATGTATCTGCATTTTTCTTCTGTGAGGCCACCTGCACCCAGCCTCTGGCTATTGTCCATGTCATATCATGCCATATATCACACATCATATCACATCACATCACATCATATCACATCAGTTACATTTTCTTGGACATGATCTTTTTATAATTCCAGAAATGGCTTTCTTTTTCTTACTTGGAAGACTTCTGTTTTTTTCCCCAAATCTCTTAATTCTGAGAGATGTAGGTGACTTGCAAGCCACAGGCAGATGGGACATCTTTTTCCTTCCTAGGAAAGAAGAGGCTGATTTGGCCACTAATAATAAAGGTGTGTGTGTGTTTTTTCTGCATTTCATTATTGCATCCCTTAACTCTGAATACAAAGCCCTGTCTCTGAGGAAGAGAGTCCTGTGGTTTATCTGACCTTTTTTGTCTCTTTCTATGGGAACCAGGAAATTAGAGACTTTTAAGTTCCGTTAATGCAGAAAATCTGAAGCGAGGTAACAGTTTAGAAAGAACTTTCCTATTGATTCCTGTTCTTCCGATTGGAGGGGTGTGCTTTAGAAGGGAGAAGAGTTTAGTGTTGAGGTAGTCTGGGTTGTTCCTCCACCAAGGCCACAGAGCAGGGAATAGCTTGCAGAAATAGCCATCTTATAGTCAGACAAAGATCTTTGGTGATGACTTCCTCTAGTTAGTGATATGGGTCCAAAAAGGCTAAAGTCATAGGGTTGGTCATCGTCTGGTTGGGCAAGCATCATGTCTGTGCTACAGGCTGAACTTCCGTGGATTGGGGCCAAGTCACAACCTCTTTTCCTTTTTTGTATGAAGGATCTCTTGGGAGAGTAAGACAGATTGGTGGAAATTTTCCACTTCTGCTAAGAAAACAACTAAAAATGTGCCTTCTACTTATGATGCTCTGGTAGCATCAATGTCATAAAAAATTAATATATAGATGGAGGACTTGAAGGCCCCTCAACAGTAGCTGGGGACATTGTGCTCTGTTGTATTCAAGGAGGCATTTTGGTTACTGGACTGGATTACACAAATACAAGTTTCCCTGAGAGCCTGCTGGTTGCTGACCAACCCCTTGTTGGTGAAGCACTAAATGTGGAAAGAAATGTAATTCTATTCTGTGGACTGAATATGTCTGCTCAGATTTCATTAACAGTTCATTTGCTAATTACTTTGTATCTAGAAATCATCTGTATCAGAAAAAAGAGAGTCATGAAAGCTACTAGGGCTTGAATGAGACCACAGCTCAAATCTCAGATTTGATAGAGGCTGGGAGGAAAGATTTAGGGACCAACCCTCAATGGGATAAGTGGAAGAAACAGTCTTTGGCTGGGGAGGAGGGGGGCGGTGAAAAACACCTTCAAACAAATCTATGAAAACCCCCAGGACAAAAGCAAAAAGGGAATTAAGTTCTTCCATGTTTATAACCCCAGTAGCCATGGACAGAAGGTGGATGGTGCCACACATGGCCTTCAGGTTAAGTGCCCCAGAAAAGACTCCTACCTTATTATTAACATGCAAAATTCTTGCAAAGTGTTTATTTTCCAGGCACACATTTTATGAAATCTCCTTTTATTGTTTTCCACTTCATGACTGTACTGATTTACAAAAAGCACTGTGGCACTTCAACAAGGTTAAATAGTGACTTTTAATTTGCTTCTATTGGTTTTGACCATATTATATATGGAGATTATTTTGTATCTTTCCTCACTTTTCAGAAAATTTGAAAAATTATAACTGATTTCATGAAATGTGTATCTCTTTTTTCTACTCTGGAAGTGGAAAGGTAACTTCTTTTCACTTTAATTTTATATGATAAAATATCATTTTTACTGACTTTAATGGGAAAATAGGCAATATGGTTAAAATGATTTGGCCTTTGTAAATTTCACATATGCCCTCTGATCCAGTCTTTAGGTCACCCTTCCATATCAAGGGGAAGATGATCCTTCCTTCAAAGCTATCCATATCCATAAAGCATTCATGGCTAATTCCAATGACAGCAAAGATCGAGTACTGCCGTTTGTTTGTTATCTTGAATGAGGAGCCGTCACAGTAATACCTGCCCACTCTGTACATACCCAAAGGCTTATTTCTGTTGTATTTTCTTTTTTTTTTTATTATGTCTCAAGATCTTTCTAAACCTTAATTTCATTGAATCTGGAGAGGACTTCTACAATTATCAAATCTAACTTCCCAAATAATAAAGAAAATTTTCTTAAAACATGGCTTACAGGCTGTGTCCTTCTCGTGAATACTATTGTTCACTGTGTAAAACAGCAACAACTATTATTTACCATTTTACTAATCAGGGTGTAGTTGGCTCTGTAGTGAACATAGTTGTTTGTGTCTATGATCTCTTTCCTTTTTTGGTGATAGCACTCCAATTTCCCTTTGAGGAACCCCTCTCTTCTACCTTTAGTCCAAATTGCTCAGCGGGGGCTGACCCCACTCTGTGATCCAGGGGTGGACATGTAATTCAGGTTTGGCAAATGCGAATTGTTGCCGGAGCTCTTCCTGAAGCTCTCTGGAAAGAGGTGCTCTTGCCCCCTGGAATTCCTCGCACTAAGGATCACATAAGCTGTTGTCGGGGCCATCTTTGCCACCAGGTAGAAAGAGATTGCCTGATGCTGATAATGATGATAATAAAAGAGTTTATATTTTTGAACTCATTTTATCCAAAACGTAGGTTGTAAACATTATTATTATTCTCATTTTTATAATTAAAAAAACTGAAAGCAAAGTGAAGTCAATTGATAAGGTTAGTGTAAAACAGCTAACAAGTTCTGGACCCAGGATTCGAAATCTGGCAGCCTACTGCTAGAGCTCATGCTTTTTACTGCTACACCACAGAAAAACAGCTGAAAGACAGAGAAAAAATATACCTGATCACACAATTTGAGCCCTGGGACTTGGATTTCCCTTTTGAATGAGGCAATTCATTCCTTTTTTGGTTTAAATTCATTTAGGTTAGATATTCATTACGTGCACTTGAAAGAGTCCTGACTGATATATGAAAGAAAAATGGAGAAGTCCTGGGAACTGTGTTTGGTCATGTGCTATTTGACACAATGCATATAGAGATGATTTGCTTAACAACTCGATGTTTGCTTATCAAAACTATGAAAGGCTGGAGGAATGTTCTGGGCACATGTGATTATAATTTGAATTGATTTTCTCTTCAAATCTACTATTTTATATTTACATGATTAAGACCTAGATCCAAGTCACTTAAGGCCTCACTTGTGTAGACTTTTGAGAGATCTGTATCAAATAATGACTTTTTGTCTTTTAAATTAAAAATATAATAATCCCACATCTCATAAAACATAGTTATGAATACATAATAGATTTAAGGAACAAAATGGGACCCCAACTAGCTTAAGCTAAAAGAGATTGATGTAGTACATTTGGGCTGCTATAACGAAATGCCTTAGATGGAGCGATTTACAAACAATAGAAATTTATTGCTCACCTGGATGCTGGGAAATCCAAGAACATGATGCCAGCAGATTCAGAGTGAGGTGAACTGGGAGACACTGGGAGGAAAGATCTGGGGACCAACCCTCAATGGGATAAGTGGAAGAAACAGTCGGGGCTGGGGGTGGGTATGAAAAACACCTTCAAACAAATCTATGAAAACCCCTAGGACAAAAGAAAGAAAGGAATTAAATTCTTCCGTGTTTATAACCCCAGTAGCCATGGACAGAAGTAGGTGAGGGCCTGTTTTTTTTTTTTTTTTTTTTTTTGAGATGGAGTCTTGCTCTGTCACCCAGGCTGGAGTGCAATGGCGCCACCTTGGCTCACTGCAACCTCTACCTCCTGGGTTCAAGTGATTCTTCGGCCTCAGCCTCCCTAGTAGCTGGGACTACAGGCATGTGCCACTACACCCAGCTAATTTTTGTATTTTTTTAGTAGAGATGGGGTTTCACCATCCTGACCAGGCTGGTCTCGAAATCCTGACCTCAGGTGATTCACCTGCCTTGGCCTCCCAAAGTGTTGGGATTACAGGTGTGAGCCACCATGCCTGGCTGAGTGCCTGTTTTTATTAGACAATGCCTTCACATGGCAGAAGGAATGAACAAGCTCCCTTAGACATCTTTATAAGGGCACTTAACCCATTCATAAGGATATGACTTCACGGGGATGCTCTCATGACTTAATCACCTTCAAATGTCCCCACCACTTAATACAGTTGCACTGGTGATAAGGTTACAACATATGAATTTTGTGGAGACATAACATTCAGACCATAGCAGTGATTTACAGTCCTGTAAATGAACATTCCAGGGAAGCTGGCTTTTGAGTTTGGCTTATCTAGGATTCAGTTTTGCCACTAGGATTTTTTCTTGGCTCTCACTTCTGGGTTGGCTCCATCCTCAAGCTCTACAAGTGGGCCTTTGGCATACCAGTCACTCCTCACACAATGGTGGTAAGCTTCCCATCTTCAGCAACCCAGCCCTGTAAGGAGGAGAATGAGCATCTCTGCATTTCCTGCACAAGTGCTAGGTTTCTCTCTGCCTTGTTTGGGTTAGGGGAGATGTGTTGATGGGTTTCAGTCAATCAGGCCCCACCTGTAGTGCCCACTGAACCACAGAAAGAGCACCCAAGGTGGGGCCTGATTGACTGAAACCCATCAGCATATCTCCCCTATGCTAAAAATGAGGGATGTGGGTGAGAGAGGAGACTCCAGATATTGACGTTAGGAGGAGAGTGAAAAATAATAATAGTAGTAGTAGTGATAATGATGATCATGATAATAATGGCCAACATTCTAGTACTACGTGTTAGCGTATATTAACATATTTAATCCTTACCAAAACTCTATGAGATAGGTATAATTAACGTGTCATTTTACAGATGAGGTAACCAAGACACAGAGATATTAAATTCATACAGCTAGGAAGTGGCAGAGCCAGGATTCACACAGGCCCTCTGGCTATAGAATCCATATTATTTACTTGGTGTATTGGTCCCTTCTCATGCTGTTAATAAATACATACCTGAAACTGGATCATTTATAGAGGAAAGAGATTTAATTGACTCACAGTTCAGCCTGGCTGGGGAGGCCTCAGGATACTTACAATCATGGTGGAAGGGGAAGCAAACACATCCTTCTTCACATGGCAGCAGAAAGGAAAATTGCTGACCAAAGGGGGAAAAGCCTCTTTAAAAACCATAAGTTCTTGTGAGAACTCACTATCATAAGAACAGCATGGGGGTAACCACCCCCATGATTTAATTACCTCCCACTGGGTCCTTCCCATGACACGTGGGGATTATGGGAACTACAATTCGAGATAAGATTTGGATGGGGACACAACCAAACCATATCATTCTGCCCCTGGCCCCTCCCAAATCTCATATCCTCACATTTCAAAACACAATCATGCCTTCCCAACAGTCCCCCAAAATCTTAACTCATTCCAGCATTAACCCAAAAGTCCAAGTCCAAAGTCTCATCTGAGACAAGGCAAGTCCCTTCCACCTATGAGCCTGTAAAATCAAAAGCAAGTCAGTTACTTCCTAGATACAATGGGGGTACAGGCATTGGGTAAATATACCCATTCCAAATGGGAGAAATTGGCCAAAACAGAGGGGCTACCAGCCCCATGCAAGTCTGAAATCCAGCAGGGCAGTCAAATCATAAAGCACGAAAATGATGTCCTTTGATTCCATGTCTCACATCCAGGTCACGCTGATGCAGGATGTGGGCTCCCACCAGCCTTGGGCAGCTCCATCCCTGTGACTTTGCAGGGTATAACCTCACTCCTGGCTGCTTTCATGGACTGGCATTGAGTGTCTGCGGCTTCTCTAAGCTCATGGTGCAAGCTGTCAGTGGGTCTACCATTCGGGGGTCTGAAGGACAGTGGGCCTCTTCTCAAAGCTCCACTAGGCAGTGCCCCAGTGGGGACTCTGTGTGGGCGCTCTGACCCCACATTTCCTGTCTGCACCGCCCTAGCAGAGGTTCTCCATAAGGGCTCTGCCCCTGCAGCAAACTTATGCCTGGACATCCAGGTATTACCATACATCTGCTGAAATCTAGGTGGAGGTTCCCAAACCTTAATTCTTGACTTCTGCACACATACAGGCCAACACCACATGGAAGCTGCCAAGGCTTGGGGCTTGCACCCTCTGAAGCAATGGCCTGAGCTGTACATTGGCCCCTTTTAGCCACAGCTAGAGTGGCTGTGATGCAGGGCACCAAGTCCTGAGGCTGCACACAGCAAGGGGTGCCCTGGGCCCAGGCCATGAAACCATTTTCCCTCCTAGGCCTTCAGGCCTGTATTGGGAAGGGCTGCCATGAAGGTCTCTGACATGCCCTGGAGATATTTTCCCTGTTGTCTTGGTGTCTTGGTGTCTTTGGCTCCTCGTTACTTATGCAAATTTCTGCAGCTGGCTTGAATTTCTCCCAGAAAATGGGTTTTTCTTTTCTACGGCATTGTCAGCCTGCAAATTTTCCAAACTTTTATGCTCTGTCACCTCTCGAATGCTTTGCTGCTTAGACATTTCTTTTACCAGATACCCTAAATCTTTCTCTCAAGTTTAAAGTTTCATGGATCTCTAGGGCAGGGGCAAAATGCTGACAGTTACTTTGCATAGCAAGAGTGACCTTTACTCCAGTTCCCAACAAGTTTCTCATCTCCATCCGAGACCACCTCAGCCTGGACTTCATTGTCCATATCACTATCAGCATTTTGGTCAAAGCCATTCAACAAATCTCTAGGAAGTTCCAAACTTTCCCACATTTTCCTGTCTTCTTCTGAGCCCTCCAAACTGTTCCAACCTCTGCCTGTTACCCAGTTCCAAAGTCACTTCCACATTTTCAGATATCTTTATAGCAGCACCCCACTACCTGGTACCAATTTACTGTATTAGTCCATTCTCATGCTGCTAATAAAGACATAGCCAAGACTGGGTAATTTATAAAGAGGTTTAATTGACTCACAGTTCAGCATGGCTGGGGAGGCTTCAGGAAACTTACAGTCATGGTGGAAAGGAAAGCAAATACATCTTTCTTCACATGGTGGCAGCAAGAAGTACCCTGAAAAAAGGGGGAAAGACCCTTATAAAACCATCAAATTTTGTGAGAGCTCACTTACTATCATGGGTATAGCATGACAGTAACCACCCCAATGATTCAACTACCTTCCACCTGGCCCCTCCCATGACATGTGGGGATTATGGGAACTATAATTCAGGATGAGACTTGGGTTGGGAGACAGCCAAACCATATCACTTGGCTATATTAAGAATAGATGGTGGGTCACAAGCAATGGGTGGTTCTGTGCTGAATTTTCACCCTCTGGTTTTAATCTTTGGCTGTTTATTTAGGAACCATAACATGTAGCGGTGTTTAGTGATATGTTCTACAATCCATGTCTCCTGCAGGTTTTTTGCTGTATCAGTTTCCACTTTGTACTTTAGGTTACTATTGACATGCCTTAGTTCTTACTGAAGGTGTTGACAACACAATGTACTTCTTACTGTGTCATCTCTGCAGCTGATTGCAACTATTTCTTAATCAAGGATGACTGCTTAATATCTTCTCCCCCATTTTCATGGCTACCTTTTGCGTAATCAAAACAGTATTGGGACTGTGAGTAAGTGTGAAACTTCATTGCTTGGATATAATGACTATATCTGTAGCTACAGATTTCTTGATTTAATATAGAACAGAAGCCAACTAATCTTTTGTTTTGTTTTTATTTATTGATTGATATATTTATTTTTTGGTAGGTAAATTTGGTGCAAATGGGAAATGTGTATTTCCTTCTACTTTGGGTACAAAAGCTTATTATTAGACAAGTTAACTGCCTTTGTTACAACTAAAAGAAAAGAACTAAGTATCATTTTCAGTCTCTTCCTTCCTCCGAAATATATTTTGGACATAATACATACTTAAAAAATTAAGCTATCACATTCTCTACACTATGAGGACATAAGAGATACAGTTACAGGCCCTAGTCCACTTGATGAATACTTAGGAGAGTAATTATAACCATTTCTAAAACTTTTTTCTTCAGTTAACATCTGTCTCATGCACTTATTCTTAGTATTTTTTACACCACTGGGATCAATACAATACTTAATCCTAAATTATTCTGGACTGAAGATCTTTTACAGAAATGTTGACATTTTCTTTATGTCACTGGGAGAAGCTTCCTTCTAGTAAATGTGGGTTTTCAAAATCCTGTTGAGGACATAGGATTTGTGAAGCCTGATTAGCTAAACCTCCATGGTCTTAAACCCAGGCCTGCATATACTGAAAGCAGCAGACTTCATAAAATGAAGTGACAGCTCAATTGGTTTGACAAGCCTTTGTAGAAATATAGATTTTCCACCGTCTTTCCTTAAACCTTCCTTAACCTGTGAAATAATTCTATAATTGATGCTTGTGTAACAGAGCTCCTCTCATGGTTATGCTTGAAAAATCAAATGAGTATTTTGAGGAGTAGAGGGTTCTTTTATGAGGCAGTTGGGTGAGTCTATAAATCCAGGATGGTAGATTCTGCTCGGGTGCTGTCATTCTCCCCTCCAATGCCAGGGTGGATATCATGGGGCTGATTTGCTGAATCTGGACATGGCTGCCAAATTCTTCTTCACCTAGTGTTCCAGGCAGTGAACACATACTGACTGACATGCAAAATAAAATCCTTTGCCAGCCCTGCTCAGCCTTTGTCAGACAGAGGAAGTAACTCTGACTGTAATCAAAAAGGAAAGAGAAAAGGGAAATGGAGCTTACTAACATTTAACGAATAACTAGTATGTGTTAGTCATTGTGCTGAGAAATTGTGCACACTTATCAAATTCAATTCTTTCAATAATTACAGAGGTAGGTGTCATGATTTCCATTGTTTTGAAATGGAAATGGAGGCTCAGGCTCAAAGTCACAAAGTGATTAAGTTAAGTGATGGAGCAGGAATTCAAGTCTAAGTCTGAATCTTTAAGACCATATCACACTTGATCTTCAATAAAAACCATTGTTACTAATCAATTTTTATACGATTTTAAAATCTATGGTACAGGTTTGGGAAAATGGCCAGAGTCATTTACCATAGATCTATTGATTTCTGTAACAGATATTCACTGAGCAGCTACTAGGTTCTGATGACATTGTGGTGAACAAGTCAGATAAAAAGCACAATGCCTTTGTGGAGCATACATTCCAGGGGAGGAGATAAGAAATAAACCATAAACATAATAAATACAAGTTTTTGCAATGAGGAAATAATTTAAACATATTTTCCTTTTTTTTTTTTTTTTTTGAGATGGAGTCTCACTCACTCTGTCACCCAGGCTGGAGTGCAGTGGCACAATCTTTGCTCACTGCAACCTCTGCCTCCTGGGTTCAAGTGATTCTCCTGCCTCAGCCTCCCGAATAGCTGGGATTACAGGTGCACACCACCATGCCTGGCTAATTTTTGTATTTTTAGTAGACATGGGGTTTTACCATGTTATCTAGGGTGGTCTTGAATTCCTGACTTCAAGTGATCCGCCTTTCTTGGCCTCCCAAAGTGCTGGGATTACAGGCATGAGCAACTGCGCCCTGCCAACATTTCTTCATGATGATCTGATAATGACAGTGTTATATCATTGAAATACATTTTTAAGTGGTTTGCTCAAGTGGTATATCTTAGTCATCTCAGAATCTCAAACAACCTGATTGATTGTTTGAAAGTTGGTGTATGGTGATTTTTAATGTTGAAGGTAAAATGACAGCATATCATTTTGCAAAGACTGCCCTACAATGAAAAGGGCTCTGTTGCTACGAGTTTTGTTTTCCTAGCACATGATGATGTGCTAGGTCCCAGACAAATTGATTGTCTATTATTGCGGGTTAGTCGAAAACCATATGTAAATGCTACCATAGAACCAGAAGAAATGCTGCCAGGATTGAATGTTATCAGACTGGATTGGGAATTGGTTCAAATCACTAACATTTCTGTTTTGTGTGATTTACTCCTTTCTTAGCATCTGACAGAGCTTTGAAAGTGATCTTCAGTGAGAAATCACCTATACTTTTTGGGTCCTCTGCTTAATTCAGTTATGAACTCTCTGACAGATTCACCCTAGATTGTCATTGCTGATGGCCCATAATTGTTATTTATGATTTTACAGTTTATTAGAAATAAATATAAGAAAATAAACCGTCTATGCATAGATGTAAACTAAACTAAGTTTATGTGGAGCTGGATGCCTTGGTGAAAATTATAAACAATATTCTTCTTACTTATATATAACCATTATCATTTTTACTTTTAAGTGACAGTTTATTACTTCATATTAGGATAAGCCTTTGGTTGTTTTTTTTTTTTTAACCTGAAATTAGTAGCACTGTGTCAACTGAATACCCATCATGTGGTCTTCAGCTGTCAAAAGTTGGAGAAACACTAGGCTAGGTCATGCAAGGACATATGGTATTTGAAAAAAAGTTTGGATTTTATTCAAGGATAAAGGGAAGCCACTGAAAGGCATTAAGCAGGGGAATTGCATGCTTCCAGCAGTGTTTTGTAAAGATCCTCTAGTTGTCATGTAGGTTAGAGAGGCACAAATGCAGAATTAGAGAGATCAATACAAGGCTGGTCTAGTTGAGAGATAATGGTTGGACTGGAGTGGTGGCAAAGGAGACAGTGATATTGAACACTTATTGAGTACTCACAATAAGAATCCTATAATATGGATACCATTAACGGGCCCAGTTTTACAGATGAAGACACTAATGCACAGCGAGGCATAGTAACTTGTTCAAGGTCACACAGTTAGGAGATTGCAGCTTGGATTTCAATTCAAGTAATCTGATTCCAGAATTCATATTTTTCACCACTAAGCTTACTTTCCTCTCTTAGATGGAAATGAGAAAAATAGATGGATTAAAGATATATTTATGGCTGGTCATGGTGGCTCGTGCCTGTAATCCCAGCAGCTTGGGAGGCCAAGGCAGGAGGATCATTTGCGGTCAGAGGTTTGAGACCAGCCTGGACAACAGAGTGAGACTCCATATCTACCACAAAAAAAAAAAAAAAAAAAAAAAAAGCCAAGTGTGGTGGTGCATGCCTGTAGTCCCAGCTACTCAGGAGGCTGAGAGGGGAGGATCACTTGAGCCCAGGAGGTTGAGGCTGCAATAAGCCATGATTTTGCCACTGCACTCCAGCCTGGGCGACAGAGCAAGACTCTGACTCAAAAACAAAAACAAAACAGAACAAAAAAAGGCCTGGTGTGGTGGCTCACGCCTGTAATCCCAGCACTTTGGGAAGCCAAGGTGGGCAGATCACCTGAGGTCAGGAGTTCTAGACCAGCCTGGCCAACATGGTGAAACCACGTCTCTACTAAAAATACAAAAATTAGCCGAGCGTGGTGGCAGACGCCTGTAATCCCAGCTACTTTGGAGGCTGAGGCAAGAGAATTGCTTGAACTCAGGAGGCAGAGGTTACAGTGTGCCGAGATTGTGCCACTGCACTCCAGCCTGGGCAACAGAGTGAGACTCCATCTCAAAAAAAAAAAAAATTGCTATATTTAGAGAGGATAGGATCAGTAGGACTTGAACTCATTGAATGTGAATAAGAGGAAGATGGAGGATGCAAAGGTGACCCCCATGTTTCTCCCTGCATCAACTAAAAAGATTCAATGTTTGTTGAAATAGAAGATGGAAGGATATGCAGATTTGAAGGGGAAGATGAGAGTTTAGTTTGGCAGGTACAGGTGAAGATGCCTGTGAGACATCTAAGTGAAGCTGCACAGTAGGCTGTGGCCCATGTGACTCTGCAGCTCTGGACAGAGGCCTGACCTAGAGACACCTGTCTGGGAACTGCTAGTTTACTGGAAATGATGGATGTGGTTTAAGACGGCCTGCAAATGACTTAGTTCCAGACACATAACAGGCGCCCAGTAATACAGAGGGAATGAATTTGTAGGGGAGCCATGGTTCTTTGGATTTAGAGTGCACCTTATAATAAACGTTTATGATATTCAAAGTTTAGCTTTCTGGATGTTAAGTGGTTGACAATGTCCACTGAAAACATTCTCACTCCTCAGATATTTCCAATGGAACTACTGTGAAAGAAAAGCACTCTGAAAAATGTCCATTTCAAACATGTGTAGGAATAGTTAAAACTAGCTGTTTAATGAATAGCTCTAATTATCTGTGTTATTAGGTTACCAAGAGATAAACATCATTTTTTTTAAGTTCTGGAACTCACCAACATTATTTACCAAGATAATGTGTGTTGAAAGCAATGATGACTTTTCTTATCTTTCAAGTTTTAATAACCTCATGTGTTTAGAGTTAAGTTTAAATGCTTTTAAATTTAACTTTAAATTTAAAGAAGACTGTAGTATTCCATAGTGTACATGTACCACATCTTCTTTATGCAATACACTATTGATGAGCACCTGTGTTGATTCTGTCTTTGCGATTGTGAATAATGCTGTGATGAACATATGTGTGCATGTGTCTTTTTGTCATGTCCGCTGCTGCAACACAGATGCAACTGGAGGCTGTTATCCTAAGCAAATTAATGCAAGAACAGAAAATGAAATACCACATGTTCCCACCTAGAAGTGGGAGGTAAACATTGGGTACTCATCACATAAAGACGGCAACAATAGACACTGGGGACTACTGTGGGGGAGGGTAGGAGGGGGCAAGAGTTGAAAAACTAACTATTGGGTACTATGCTTACTACCTAGATGATGGGTTCATTCTACCCAAACCTCCACACCCCACAATATACTCATGTAATAAACCTGCACATGTACCCCCTGAATCTAAAATAGAAGTTGAAATTATTAAACAGAAGAACAATTCTAATAAAATATTTACTGGAATTAAAATCTAAAAAAAAATTTAAAGAAGAGTTGGAAGAGTAGCATAAAGAACTCCTATAAATTCTTTATCCAGATTCACTAATTATTAATATTTTATCATATTTGCTGTATCATACTTTCCCTCTTTATATCTATGTAATATTTCCTGAACCTTTTGTGAATAGGTTGCAGTCATTGCGTTCCTTGGCTTAAGCCTGTATTTTACTTAAAGCATGTACTTCCTAAGTATGGAGACATTCTTTTATATAGTCATAGTGTAATTATCAAATTCAGGAAACATAACATTTTAATGATACCCTTTCATGAAATGCAATCCATATTTAAAGTTTTTCATAGCAATTTACTCCCTAGTAGAGTATCTAACCTGGGATCATGCATGGCGTTTAGTCCTAATGTCTCCTCAAACCTCCTTTAATTTGGATAGTTTCTCTACCCTTGTCTTTCAAGACATTGTCATTTTTGAGGAGTATAGACCAGTGTTTTGTAAAAAGTCCTTTATTTTATCTGATGTTCCCTCCTGATGCATAACACGATTAGATTCAGGCTATTAATTTTGGGTAGTCATACTAAAAAAAGTTAGGGTTCTATGTTTTCAGTATACAATGTCAAGAGGCAAATATGTCAGTTCGCCTATTGGTGATGTTAACTTTGGTCACTCATTTGAGGTAGTATTTGCCAGATTTCCTCACTGTAAAGTCATAATTAGTTCCTTTATAAATATTAAGTAATCTGAAAGAGTTAAAGTTGAAGATAAAACCTTTCCCTTAAAAGCAACATCTACAACTCAAAACCTGGTTTGCTAATTGCCAGACTTCTAGTAGAAATATGCATTAGGAATCTAGGTGCAAGCGAACTGAATTTGGTGGGGTGACTAGTGTTAATTTGTTTAACTTCTAGTATGTATTTGTTTACATATCTCAATCAAACCATAGGTCTAAATTGGAAGGGTGATGGTACCAGTTCATATTCCTGATGAGGTTCCAGCCCATTCTTGTAGACAGAAGAAAATATATTGTCTTTGTACCAGCCCTACTGTCCCTTGTAACCTCATTCTAAAGAGAGTTTGCCTGATTATTATTCAACGTATCTCCAAATTATTTTACATAAATTACCATTGACTTCTCCCCTCACAGGGATTCTAATATTCCTAATATCTTGGAATTGAGTATTGGCTTTTGTTCCTTGTCTTTTATTTCCCATACTGATTAATCTTAGACTGCTGAAACAGGCCTTAACACATCAAGAATCTACTCATATGTATAGATACATGAAGAAATGTACAACTAAGCTTGTTTTCATTTTATTCTTGAATTAAATGGTTATTCACTCAGGCACGTTAGCATCAATTTTAAAACAAATTCTGTAACAGCTATGAAAACATGAAAAAGCAATAAGGCTTTATGTATACTGTGTGTAAGGCTTTATGCATATTTTATCTATTTTTATTTTATAAACTTCTAATGAGTCATTCAATATGAATTTTGGCAGACTATTGTAAAATAGCACAGTTCTGTGAATTTTTCAGACTCTGGTAACATTGGGTCACATTTTGCTTTGTTTCACATCTGCTCAAAGCTTGCAACAAGTTTAGCAAAATTCCTGCTGTATAAGAACTACTCTAAATATGAGAGATTTCAGAGAGAATTCTTTTTTAAGCATGAATATTTAAATAAGGTATTTGTGCTTAATCCCTTCCCATAAAATTTGTCTACTTTTTCCTATGTTTCTAGTTGTCCAATACTCAAATGAGCACCATTGCTTTAAAAGCAGTAAGGAGAAATTTATTTCACTCAATCATGTTGTCTTCATGATTGACCATCAAGGTAAAGGAATAGACCACGAAATAGAAAGTAGGTCTTTATGCTCTTCAATAGTATATCAAATCTGGCAAAGAAAAAATCAATTTGCCTCATTTAATCTTAGGAAATTAGAAGTTGTGAAAAACCAAATTAAAACAAGGACTTCATCTCATTTGGTCAAGCATTGAGATTGGATACTTCAAAAATATACATTGCTAACATGAACAACTAATCTTAGCCCAATAGTGGGTTGAATACTTTGAGTACTGCTCTTAGAATACTTTTCTATTAAAGTCAAAATGAGAGAAACTTTTTAAAGCCTTGACTATATTGTGGTATATACTGAATTATAAGAAATTTTCTTGTACATTGGTAGACTATCTTATTGTATTCAATTATAAAAAGACATGTTTCCTGTATGGGAGTATTGACAGACTCTAATAACTTTATAATGCTCCTATTATTTCCACTTCATGAAGAGAACATCAACCAATTTCAAATTGACCTCAAGCATTATTTTAAAGTAAAGCATAGGGAGTATATTAGGATAAAAGGAAAGGTACTGTAACAAAGAAACAGAAAAATACTGTGGCTTAAAGAGTAGAGAAGCTTCTGGTAGTCTGGGGAGCCTACACTGTTGGGCAGCTCTACTCCATGTAGTCATAAAGAAACAATGTCTCTTACATCTTGTTTCTCCATCATTTTCTAGGACATTGTCTTTGTCTTTGCATGATTAAAAGTAGATTGTGAGCCTATCTATGTCTCAGTCTTTTAGAAAGGGAAGTGGGTATGAAGAAGCCCATGCCCAATATCTTAAAGTCCAGACTAAGAAATGGCACACATTGATTCAGCTCACATTCTTTAGTCATGTGGTTAATAAGTGTGAGAGAGGCTGGGAAATGTAATCTAGCTGGATAGTCACGTACCCAGTGAAAATCGTGGATGAGGAATAAGGGTTGGACATCTGACTCCGCAGAGAGGCTGAATACCTTGCCTATGGTCAAGTAGCTGGTAAGTGAAAGAGCTGACATTCAAAACCAGGCAATCTTGTTCCAGAGAACATGAGATTAAATACCTTTTTAGTTTTCATTGCTGCATAATAACCAATTCAAAATGCAGTAATTTGTTCTGATTCTGTGGATTGGGTAGGTGGTTCTCCTGTTGCCTAAGCATACTTGTGTGGCTACATTGAGCAGGCAGATTGGTTTAAAACAAATTCTACTCCTGGGTATTTACCCAAGAGAATGAAAATATATGTCACAAAAGACTTGTTTAAGAATGCTCATATCAGCTTTATTTGTAATAGCCCCAAAAGCCTGAGAATAAACCACATATACATCCACAGAAAAATAGAAAAATAATAGAAAAATATTTATACAAGGGAACACTACACAACAATGAGAATAAATAATTATGACTAAATGTAACAATATGGGTAAATCTTAGAAGTATAATGTTGAGGGAAAGTAGCCAGCCTCCCCGCCCGTAAAAGCATACCATTGTATTATTTCTTTTATATGAAGTTTAAGAGCAGGGAGAACTATTCTAGGTGCTAGAAATCAGAATAATTTTTGCCTCTGTGGAGAGGAATAGGAGGGGCAAAGTAAACTTTCTGGAGCAACTGAAATGCTCTGTATCTTGATTGGGATGTGGGTTAAGTGGGTTTGTAATTGTCAAAATTTATGAAACTATACATTTAAGATCTGTGCATTTAATGTAAGTCATAATTCAATTAAAAAAGAAAAAAGTACATGATAAGGAATTGAATGTTACAAAATATTTTTAAAAACCCTTTTATAATCAGTGTTCTATAATGCAACAGATAAAGTTTCTTCAGAGTTAACCTGTACTGATAATTATATAACAAAAATGTATTGAGTGCCTCCTGTATGTGAGACATGTTCTAGGAATTAAACAGGGCAAAAAATAGCCTTGCTTTCATGTGCTTTACATTTTAGGAGGGTAAAGGTGGTAGTGGTGATGGGTGGGTGGCGGGAGAAGCAAGGGATACATGAGCAAACAATGTAATAAATAGGATAATTTCAGATGTGCGTCATGAAGAAAACTGTGACTAGGAGAAGGGGTAGGAGAAACATTTTCGACCAGATGGTGAGGAAAGACTTCTTTGAGAAGATGACATTTGAGTTGAGTCTTATGTAATAAGAAGGAGCCAGCTCTGTGAAGATCTGTGGGAAGAGTTTTCCAGGCACAGGGAAGAGCCAATGTACCGGCCCTACATTGACAATAAGTGTGGCACATTGAAAAAGCTTCAGTCGGTCTCTGAGACAAGAGCATCGCAGGCAACGGGAGAAGGGTGATCTTGTTTCTGCTACTTAAGCTGTGTGGATTCTCACCGATTGTTTTGAGTATAAATATTCCTTGTTAGTGTCCAGATTACTTTATGGGGATGCAAAGTTTGCATGAGAATATGGTTTTCAAACTCCTAAGAACTAAATGCATTCTAGTTACTATTGCTATGATTAAAAAATTTTAAATATTCACGTGTTTTCATCAGTAAATCCTACTTTGCTTTTTTATGGCTTAGTAATGTAAATGACAGTGGGGTAATTAGAAAACCATAGCCAAAAGAAGAAGAAATAAAACTCCCTGTGGTTGTTTATAACTGGGTATAATCTTAGTAATATAACTGGGTGTAATATATATTAATCAACCATGTTGTATTGTTCTGAAAATTGAGGTCGCTACTCTATTTCATGTCACTTAATATGTACCATGATATCATTTTAAAGGCTATATAGTGGCCCTCTGCACAGGATATGTAATAATTCATGAATTGATTCTGTAATCTTGAACATTTAGGTTGTTCTCTACTCTTCATCATTAACATTTGTGCATCTTTGTGCCTATCCCTAATTACTTTTTTTAGGATAGATTTTGGAATTGAATGTGCTTTGGATATATACTTCCTAATTGACCTTCTCATTGTCTATATCAATATAATGAACTGTTTCAATGTAACTTTTTCCTTTATAAAAGTTACCTGGAAAAAATGATAGCCTCCTATTGTTTTGTAGGCACATTCTGAACCAGGAAACGTGATGTTTTGATTTTTAGAAAATCAGATCCAAGACAATAGCTTTGTTTGAAAAAACAAAACAAAAAGGAGTGGTTATGCTTCAGTGGAAAAGTCATGGCTCAGGGATTGACCCATTATGCTTCCTTCTTCCTGTTTGGCTGACGTGTTACTGGAACCATTATATGGTTTTATTATGAGGGGAAAGAATGAGAAGGACACAGTGGGTAATAGGATGAAGGGAATATATTGAGACAGAGCCTAGGAACAGGGCACGGGAGAAAGAAGGAACATACTGTGATAGGCAGAATAATGGCCCCAAAGATGGCCACATGCTAATCTTCTGGACCTGTGAATGTGTTACTATGCATGTCAAAAGTGACTTGGAAGCTGTGATTACATTAAGTATCTTGAGATAGAGAGTATTATTCTGGATTATCCAGGTGGAATCAATGTAATCAAAGGAGTCCTTATAAGCGAAAGAGAGAGGCTTGAGAATCAGAGTCACAGAAGGAGCTGTGATGACAGAAGTAGAGATCAAAGTAATGAAATTGCCAGTAGAAGGAGGCTACAAGCCAAAGAATGGGGGCAGCCTCTAGAAGCTGGAAAAGCCGAGGAAGCCTGTTCTCCCCTAGAGCCTCCAAAAGGAAACTAGCCCTGCTGATACCTTGATTTTAGCCCAGGAATGTCCGTTTGGACTTCTTATCTCCAGAATTGTGAGCTAATAAATTTGTTTTAAGCCACTAAACTTGTGGTAATTTGTTACAGCAGCAGTAGGAAACTAGTACAGATGCTGAATTTGATGGGAGGAGTTAGGGAATGATGTAATTTTGGAAGAATGTGAATATTTGCAAAATGAGTTTGAAATTTAGGTGAATAAACAATGACAGAAGAAGGTCAACTATGTGTGAAACTGCAGGGATGGGTAGAGAAGAGTGAGACTGACTTCAAGGCAAGGTTACCACCCCCTGCTGTCTTTTCTCAGCTATGTAGTTTTCCTTCACAGCACAGCTTGAAGTTAAATGTATATTTGTGCAATTATTTATTTAATCTTTGTATTTCCCTTTAGCAAATCGTATGAGGGTAGGGACTGTCTGCTTTGATCATCACAACCTCTTGAGCAGCCACATAATAACTAATAATGAACAAATAGGTATGATAAAGATTGAAATGAATGAATGAATTGGGAGAAGATACTCATAGGTAAACAAAAAATAGTAGTCCGATAGAGGGAAGCCTAACATATAGCCAATTTGTTGGAGATGTAAAACTCCTTACATTGTCCTATAGTGATTTTCAGCCATTAAGGATAACCCTAGCATACTGTTTTCTTTTGCAGTTTTGGTGTAGTGACTGTTTAAGAGCAGGTGAGGGCTTTGGAACTAGACTTCTTTGTTTCAAATTCATATAGCTATGCATACTGTCCCATACATACTTAAGTATATCCCTAACATACTTAAATGTATGCTTGTCAGTTTAGCTAGGCTAAAGTACAGCAAAGTGGCCCATTGTCCACCCACCCATTCATCCATCCATCCATCCATCCATCCATCCATCCATCCATCCATCATCCAGTTTACTTTGGTGGTTAGGAGTATAAACTGTGAAGACAGATACCCGGGGTTCAATCTCAGTTCTGCCAGTTAATATGGGACCTTGGGCAAGTTACTTGAAACTCAGTTTTTTGATCATAAAAAGGGATGCTAACATGGTTGTTGTAAGCATTAAATATAAAGCAATTAGAATCATTCCTGACACTTAGTTATTGATAAATATTATTTTGTATTATTATTACTAGAGGTTGAATAAAATAGATTTTGGTTTAATAGAACCAAAGACCAGATCTCCACTATTTAGCTGTGTGACTGCAGCCAGACTTTACATCTCTGGTTGGGGGAAGGGATTGTATTGAGCCAGTGATTCTTGATCTTTGTTGGGCATATCAACTATCTGAAGGCCCTTTTAAGATGCTGATGCTGATTCAGTAGGTCTGAGGTGGAGGATAAGATTCTGCACCTCTAACAAGCTCCCTGATGATGCTGATGTTGGTGGTTCATGGGCTACACTTTGAGTAGCCAGGAACTAGGCAACCTCTCAAGCTCTTTCTTGCTTCAATATTTCTGCTATTGATATCACCATCCTGCTAATCTCTGGGCTATATAAATAAACCTTGGAGTTTACTTTTTCTTTCTTCTTATTGCCTAAATCCAGGTTTTCTTCTTACTGATTTTGTTTGCTTCTTTAAAATGTCTCTTTAGTGTCTATTAAAACAGAATTATAATAGATCTAGAAAATTGCCATAACTGTTCAATTATGCCACCCTTAAAAGTTGTTACAAAGAACATTAATTACATGGCAAAACTTGTATAATTTAATATTGTACATATATAAACATATATCATGTATGATTAGGGGTAAGCTCAATTCCCCAGAATTCTATAAACAAGAATAAAAGGGAAAGAAGGCAATGCCCCAAATGGTCTGAGTTTGGGTGGAAGAAGTGTGATTCTCTCTAGGTACATATATTTTTCTTTCTCTTTCTATATTTTCTTTAATGAGGATGTATCACTTAGAAAATGAAAGCGTTGTTTTCAAAGAATTACCAGAACTGAAATCCTTCCAATTCACAGGTATTTCTGGATCCTTAGGGACGGTTGCTCTCCATTCTTTCATAAGTATCTTTATAGGCTCTTCTCTTCATTTTTAATCTTCAGGTCTCACTGACAGAAAAGGCCCCACTCTCCAAAAAGATTTTTCTTTTCATCTCCTTTGTGAATAGAAACTCATATTTTCCCCCAGGTCTTTCCTGACCAAAGAGTTTAATCTCTTCCTCAAACCATCAACATGGTGACAGAACACTGGTCCCTACAAGGTGTGGTTTTACTTCTAATGGCTACCAAGGGCCAGAGACCAGAGTGCTGACACCATCCCATGTTTTCCAGAGTTTTGCCTGGACTTCTTGGGGGTCTGCCTCAAGTAAAAGGGCAAGGGGTGCAGGGGGTTGTGGAAGGATGAAGTCAGATGTTGCACAGCTGCAGCTCATGCCAGAGGAACTTGGGACGTGGCCCCACAGCTGTGAAGCAAGCCAAGCAGCCTGCCACGTCCACAGCCGCTGAGTCTCCAAGGGGGAAAAAGCCATAGAGCCAGATGTTACTTCTAGAAAAAAAAACTGCTGTGTGGAACTTGGCCTCTGAATGGTGCATCTGTCCAACTTACCTTCAGCTTGGTCAGAGACAGCAAAAACTCTGCTAGGAAGGCCTGGAAAAAAACAAAGAAGGAACATAACTTGACTATGAAAAGAAAGTTGTGGAATACAAATGTTTTTGCCAAAGCATTTATTCTGGAGTTTCTCAGTTTTCTTAGCTTGAATTGATATTTAAATGCCCTTTCTAGGAGGGAAAAAAGTCTGTTGATTAGATACTGATGCAGGTTCCGCTTGATTCTCCTTTTTTATCACATAGGGTTTGAGTAGGAAGCTTGGTTATACATTAGAGGGGAGAAAGAAAACCCTTCCATTGCCCTCAATTCTAGGCCTTTCCAGTACAATCTTCTCTCTGTGAAGTCACTGTGCCTTCCAAGTCTGCTGGGTATTGTTTGACAGGTTGTTTACTGCCCAAGGGTACCTGCATTACTCAGTGTTCTCCAGAGATACAATCAGTAGGATAAACGGAAGGAGATTTATTAGGAGGAATTGGCTCACGGAGTCACAGAGACGAAGTCCCACAATAGGCCAAGTGCAGGCTGGAGAATCTTAGAAGCGATAGCATGGCTCCAAGCTGGTAGTGTGGCTCAGTTTCTGTCCAAAGCCTTAGAACCAGGGAAGCTGACAGTGCAGGCCTCAGGCCCAAGAGCCCCCTTGGGAGGCTGCTGGGGCAAGTCCCAGAGTCTGCAAGCTGAAGAACCTGGAGTCTGATGTCCAAAGGAAGGAGGAGAAAAAGGTCCTGCTCTGTAGGGGAGAGAGACAGTAGGGAAGGTAAATCCTCCTTTTCCTGCCAGTTTTGTCCCAAATGGGCCTGTAGCTTACTGGATGGTGCTGGCCGCGTTGAGGGCAGGTCTTCCTCTGTCAGCCCACTGACTCACATGGCAATCTCTTCCTGAAACACCCTTACAGACACACCCAGAAACAATGCTTCACCAGCCATCTAGGTGACTCAATCCAGTCAAGCTGACACCTAACATTACCATCGCAGTGCCTGACTGAGGAAGAAGGAGGAGGCCAGAATCTAGTCTGCTTCCCACACATCAGGCTGTGCCTGTGCAGGCCTAGGTCCAACTGGGAGAGGCATCTTACCAAATAACACAAAAATGTGGTGCACTTGCCAAGCACTGTGTCCACAGGTTTACCACAGTCTGCTTGGGATGCCTTTTCCTAGTTAGCATAAAGTGTTACATGGACCCTCCCTAACCCCATCTCGTACCTCCAACCTGGAGTCACTGCTCTTTCAGCTGCTGGGCCAGTTGTCTCCACATCTTAAGGATGGATCTACCCTGACTACAATCCAGTGAGTTTGCAGGACTCTGTCTAGGGGCCAGAGCACCAAGTCTAGCCTTGAACTTGTATCTCCATTATGATGAGGGAGGTTTTACCCTGGGATGTAGGCCTTGCACTTATACTCAGGAGATAGATTCTTGTCTTATTTCCTGAGTCAAATTAACATCTCTGCTACCTGCCTGGTATCTTGGTCCCTTTAGAGTCAGGGACCTGTGCTAGTCTGGCCCTCGGCATGCCAGAGATTCACGCAGTGCTCCTTCCCCCCAGCCTGGCTGCTGAGCCCTGTCTCCCCAGTGGTTCTTTTCTCTACGCATCTCTGAATGTGACTGCTTTAGGGTGAATCTCCTCCTTCTTGTTCCACCCACCTGCCAATTTGTGTTATGCTCCTGATGTTGACAGCTTGCCTGGACCACTTCCTTTCTCTATAGCCTTGAACCCTGCAGACACTGGATTCTGCCTCTTGGGCTGAACTTCTTCTTGAGGCCTCTCCATTGGGTGGCTCTGTCTTTCCTAGGCTTCCTCATCTTGATGCAAGGAAGAAGGTACACACTTGGCCATGCATGGTCTGAGATGTAACAATTAGTTTTAGGAAGTGCCTACTTCTGTGAGCAAATAATCAATTACCTGTCATAGCAGCCACTCTTTCCTGAAACTGCCTTCCAACCAGGTGTGCAGTTTCTGAAATTCTACCAATGGCTTTACTTCCTCCAGGTGTCTTCTGGAGGAGTAAGGAACCGTGACCAGACAGACACAAATACATATGGCCATTAGTAATATCATTACCAAGCTAACTACAGGAATCCAGGGCAGTATGCAGGCATAAGAGGTCCAGGAAGAGCAGAACAGAAGACAGTTGTGTGGAGAGCAAGTGAAGAGAGGCACTGAAGACAAACTCTCCCATCCTTCTGACTTTACCTGGTCCCAGTCCTGGGTGAGCAACTCACATAACCTTAGGCTTTGAGATGGTTTGGCCTATCATGGGCCCTGAGAGAATATTGGACAAAAATGTTGTTCTTTAGAGTTTATGGAGAAAGAAACAGAAACAGGATTTGGTTATTATTTTGAAGTGGGCAGAAAAACTGAGGAGCAACCTAACTGCACCATTCAATAGATTATAATGCAAACAAGGACCAGAAATGGCTACTGTCAGAAGTGAGTGAGAAACAAAGCCTGGGGAAAGGATGTAGGATCACAGGTAAGTCAAACAGCAGTTAGTCCTCATGCCACTGACATTCAGCTTTCAGTATAATGTAGACCCTCCCACAAATACCTCTCTAGGACAAGCTGTAGCATTTCATGTCCTCTATGTTATTAAGTTATGGGCAGTACCAGCTGAGGGGAAGAACTTAATATGTGATTGACAGGTCCTTAAGTGGGAGGTGAAGACCTCCTGATGATTTTCTTGAAGCATTAGGATTGCTTCGTAAAAATTTTAACCCACCTTGGGAGGTGATCCAGCATGGCTGGAATGTGGCTTTGGTGTCAGCCACTAGTGGGTTCTTTCTAGTCCTGGCTTAACTGCTTACTAATTGTATGTGCTTGAGCACTTAACCTAAGCCCCAGTTTCCTCATCTGTGAATTGGGTGTGATAATAGTTCCTAGGTCATAGGGTATTGTGAAGATTGCATAGAATCATGTATTATTTCATGGTATGGTATTACAAAGCTCCAAATAGAATGTCTAGCAGAGCAAAAGTATTTGTGAGTGGTGCCTCTGTTTTTATTAGATGAATTGCCTATTTTCCCACAAATGACCTGGTCGTACTTCTCTTAGCAGAGCTTCTCCAAAAAAGTCAGATCCCTTTCATTTCTAAGTCTTCTGGTATATGAAAAAGTGAAATACCAAAGCATCTATATAGTTTACGTAATTGCATTGAACAAATCAATGATGTTAACATAAGCGCTCACATGCGATGCATCATGTAACACAATTGTGTTATTCATAAGATCCTGGTGCCCTACAGGGTGGTCATCCAGGGTTGAAAGTTCCAGGGTTGAAAGTTGGGAGGGACCCAAGTTTCAAGTTATGTGGAGAATGTCCTTCAGTCCCATTTTTGTCTTTCTGTAACTAAATGTTTAATATCATTTGGAGTTTAAGGTGAAAAGTCTATGTTTGAAGCTTGAGCTAATGGCTCTGCTAGCCCCTCATGTAGGAAGACCAGACTGTCTGAGAAATCCAAGCTGTACAGACCACTAATCTGTTTATTTCTGGTGGTAGAAATCATAGAGCTTCTGCTGTTCTCCATCAGTGTAACAAGGACACTCAGTTGAGGCTGAACTCCTCTGTACATCAGGAAGATCTTAACTTGGGATCAGCACTGGATCAGGAATGAGGAGCACTGTTTCATGGGTGAAATTCATCACCCATCATTATGAGATATGGAGGAAGGTGCTTCTCAGTGCCAGGCTTTCATGTCCTGGCATTCAATGAGGGGACCGGGGTTAGATCCTGCCTGAGGTCTCCACTCTAAATTTTTGTGATTCTATATATGCATGGAGTTTGCACATGTGCATGGGGCATGGTTTCTTGAAGGTTGAAGTAATCTAGCTGAGTAAAAGGTTTGATCTCAAAATGTTTGTATCAACTAAGTTAATCATAGCAATTTCTCCATAAAATAATTAAAGTTAATGGTTACCTTTAGAACTACTGGCATCTTTACGAGATCCAAAACATCAGGGAAAGCAGCAGCTGGAGATGAAAGGAGAGTAAGGAATCAATTCTGAAAAGACCAATGGTTAGAAAGGAACGAGTCTGGGGTAAAAACCAATAAGGTCTTCAGATGCAGCCTTGAGACCTCATCAGATATTTTCCGTGTAGTCCTTACTTCATTCAATTCCACTGAGTTTCCTTTTTAGCTTTTATTATTCACCTCTCTGTGCATTCATTATTCCACTTTTTTCTTTTAATTTTTATAATGCAAGGTTTAAAAAGACAGATGCTGGAATATTCTTGGGCAAGAAGATAATGAAGTCTGTGAAACAATTATGTCTGTTCTTATTTTTCCTCTCTGCCGGCACTGATCAATTGGAAAGTAGGAAAATATTTTTCAGCAAATAACTCACATATTTAGACATGCCTAACTGTTTAAATAAGGGATGAGAAAATAATAAGTGTATAACTATTTGGAGAAATAGTTAAACGTCTATTTTTAAGGTCTTTTGTAAAAGTGATTAATGCATTAAAAATAGGAGAGATGTGTAATCAGAGGAAAAGATTAGAAAGAAAAAAAACAAGATTATGCTCTGATTTTAAAAGTTTGAGAAATAAAGCATGTAGAAAAAGTTTTATAAGCAATTAAATTCTTTAATTTGTTTGAACAAAAATGTCTTTTGGCTAGAGAGACAGACTTCTTTATAAAATATCATTCACATTAGTTATTCAAAGATAATGGGACATTTACTATAATTCTAGATCAAGGCAGGTCCTAGGATGGCTTATGAGTCTGCCAGTTGCGGTTCTAAAACTTAACCCTTAACAGTTTTATTCCTTTAGGTCCTGAAGACCTTTTGTCCTTCTGAAGTTTCCAGTAAAAATGTAATGATTTCTGGATGGTATGGTTTACGTGTTTTAAGGGCAAAGGTGGTATCTCAGGGTGGCACCATGGCTGGAGAGGGGATGGAGGAGAATAATTCTTTCTATTTCACACATGTAGCTAGTGCTGTGTTCCCTGGGGCTGTGCAGAGGCTCAAGGCTGAGAGACAGAACAATAAGACTCATTAATTCAAATTCTGAGGGTTATCTTGATCAGAAGGGCAGGGACTCATTCTTGGATAGTGAAAGCATAGATTCCAGGGAAAAGAGTAATGACCCCTAAGTGCCTGGAATACTTGCCATTACCATTCATAGAGATTTCTTTTGTTCGCAACTGAATTCAACCTACTGTCTAGAGAGTTACTAAGTGAATCCGGGGAGGTAAAAATCCAGTTCATGTCTTTGCCTAGGGGGTCACTGGGTATCTTTCTCCACCTAGTGGCCAATGCCTCCTCATAAAGCTAAAAGACAATTGGTTATTATGGCAATGAAACAAGTGAGGTTTCTTGTTTTCCAATACTAGGCTATCAAATCACAGAATGAAGACGACGTTTAAGCATATGTTTGGAAAAGCCAGTGGGTGTATTAATAATTAGGTTGGCTTGCATAGCTTCCTTTGTTGAGATGACATGCCTTGCATTCTAGTGGAGAAAAAGCAGTTAGGAATGCTTGCTGATCAAGTAATGCACACAAATAGAGTTAAAGCTTGCGGCCAATTCCATAATATGAAATTTTCATACCATAAAACCCACTTTTCAAGAAGAGAAACAGATGAGGAGGATTAAAGAATTTTCAATTATTAGTTTTGCATGATTTTTGGATAATCTGTGTCTACACTATAGGTGCTCAAAAAGCGTATCACATTGAATTGAATTTAATAGATTTTCCTGTGCTTCAGTTTCTATTCATTACTCTTATTGTTTCTACTTTTCCAAACTAAAATCATATTCCATTAAAAACAAATACATCCTAAAGAAAGCATGTAATTAAGTTTTTTAGTTGTTTTCATGTTAGTCTCTGCAGCATTTGACACTGCTTTACACACTCTCCTTCTGGAAACTTTCCTCTTTCTCTCTGCTCTGGTTTTCATGACACCACCCTCTCCTGCTTGCCTCCTACTTCCCTGGCAGGATTATTCTACCGAGTTTGCTTTCCAGCATCACTCTCCTTTCATGTTCCCTTAGATACCACTGTTGCCTGAGGCTCTGGTCTTAGCCCTCTTATTTTCTTCAATGAATTTTCCTTCTTCTAGGATCACACATCAATATTTGAACTTTAATGCAGATACTGATGGTTCCCAAGTCTCCACCTCCAGCTCTCACTCATTCTCCCTTGAGTTCCAGACAAAAATTCCCCTCTATTTGTTAGATCTCTCCACCACAATATCCTGTGGGCACCTAGAACCCTGTGGAATCCTAGTTGAGCTCATTATTTTATGCTCTTCTGTGACTTGCACTATTGCCTGAATCTTCTATCTGGGTATGTGTCAACATTATTTAGTCTTCAGGATCCAAAAGGTGAATGGTGTTTACCTTCCTTACATTTCAGCGTTGATTCTGATACTACTACTACTACTAATTAGAATTTTCAAGCAGATGCTATTTTTCATACCCTGTGCTTAGCATTTCATGCATCACACCAGATAATTTCTTTTTTTCTTTTCTTTTCTTTTTTTTTGTTTTTTTTTTTGAGACAGAGTCTCCCTCTTGTCGCCCAGGCTGGAGTGCAGTGGCATGATGTCAGCTCACTGCAACCTCCGCCTCCCGGGTTCAAGCGATTCTCCTGCCTCAGCCTCCTGAGTAGCTGGGATTACAGGTGGGCACCACCCTGCCCAGCTAATTTTTGTATTTTTAGTAGAGATGGGGTTTCACTATGTTGGTCAGGCTGGTCTCAAACTCCTCACCTTGTGATCCCCCCGCCTCGGCCTCCCAAAGTTCTGGGATTACAGGCTTGAGCCACCGCACCCATCCCCACACCAGATAATTTCTGAACCCCAAGCCGCAGTGCATAGATCAGCTTGGTTTTAGTGCGGCTGCAGTGGGAATCTCTGTGTTTGAGGCCATCATTCCCTCTCAAGTATATGCCTTAGCTTTCCTGCCTCACGGCTTCTTCTGAAGCTGGGGAAGGTTGCCCAGTCAGTGAACAAGCCAGCCAGTTTGTGCAGAGAAGTTAAAGCTCCCAGGAGTGAACCTCAACAAACGCAGATTGGAAGTTAGTGTATAAACGCATCAGCTTCTCATCCTTAAGAGAGACAGTTTTGAGGACCATTCTATAAGGTTCCTCAGAAATTCCCCTGGAGGATTGAGCTGCAAGTGCTCAGCATGATAACCAGCCCACCAGTTCATCCTTAGCTGGCATGGCATTTCTCCCTCCCTGACTCACTCTTCCAACTCCTCCCTCCACTCTTTCACCTCCCCAACAAGCTACCTGATCCTAAGACCCATCTCAGGGTCTTCTTTCAGGAGAACCCAAATTCAGACATACTATGTAATTCTTACAACTGACCTTCCTCTGAGATAATACTATCCTTTCCTGAGGGAACTGAGGCACAGAGGTTACTAAACTTGCCTAGGGTTATTAAACCTACTAGTTGAAGAGCTGGGATTTGAGCACAGGCAGTCTGACTCCAGAACCTGCTGTCTGCCAAAACAATGATCTGAAGAGTACATGAAAAATAGCTGTGCACTTCTAACTGATTGGCCTTGATACGTATGTATCATTGTCCCTTCTATATTGAGATATTTTATCTCAGCTTTTTCCAGTTTTGAGAATTCTCAGCAGATTTTTCATTTGATATCAAGTAGAATGGAAAGATTCACAGTGTAAAAAACCTGTACAACTGAAAAGAAAACAAAGTAGACATATTTAAAAATTTTAAATTATATGCTGTCAAATTATGGTTATATATGTTTATAGGGTACAAAGTGATGATTTATGAATACAATATGTAATGATTAAATCAAGCAAATTAATATATCCATCACCTCAAACATTTAATATTTTTTGTGATGAGAACATTTAAAATTTATTCTCTTAGTGATATTGAAATGTATGGTACTCAATTATTAGTTATATTCCTCGTGCTGTGCATTAGGTCCAAAAAAATCGAACGTATTCCTTTTATCTAACTCAGGCTTTGTACCCTTTGACTATTGTCTCCCCATTCCTCCTATGTCCTCCAGCCTCTCTGTTAACCACCATTCTACTCTCTGCTTCTATGAGCTCAGTTGTTTTAGGCTCCCCATATTAAGTGAGAACATGTCTATTTGTCTTTCTGGCTTATTTCTCGTATCATAATATTCTCCAATACCGTCCATGTTGTCGCAAATGATATAATTTCTTCTTTTTTCATTGTGTATATGTACCACATTTTCTTTCTTTGTCTGTTGATGGGTATTTAGGTTGATTGTTTAATTTGGCTATTGTGAATAGTGCTGCAGTGAACACGGAAGTTCAGACATTTCTTTGACACAATTAATTATTTCAAACCTTCAGCTAAATAATCTAGAAGTGGGATTGCTGGATCATATGGTGGATCTATTTTCAGTTCATTGAGAAAGCTCCATACCATTTTCCATAATGGTTGTATTAATTCACATTCCCACCAACAGTATAAAAGTGTTCTCTTTTCTCCACTTCTTTGCCAACACTTATTTTTTGTCTTTTTGATAATAGCCAATTCTAACAAGCATGAGATGCTATCTCATTGTGGTTTTAATTTGCATCTCCCTAATAATTAGTGATATTGAGCATTTTTTCATTAATTTGTTAGTCATTCATATGTTTTCTTTTGAGAAATGTTTATTCAGAACTCTTGCCCATTTCTTAATTGGATTACTATTATTTTCTTTCTATAGAGTTGTTTGAGTTCCTTATATATTTTTGAAATTAATCCTTTATCGGATGTATGGTTTGTAAATATTTTCTCTGAATCCACAGGTTGTCAAAATCATTGTTCAGACCAATGTCATGTAGTTTTCCCTGCTACGTTTTCTTCTAGTAATTTTAAAGTTTCTGGTCTTATGGTTAAGAGTTGAGTTGATTTTTGTATATATTGTGAAATAAGGGTCTCAGTTCATTCTTTTGCATATGGATATCCAGTTTTCTCAACACTATTGAAGAGGATGTCCTTTTCCCATTGTATATGTGTCCAAAATCAATTGATTGCAGATGTATGGGTTCATTTCTGGGCTCTCTCTTCTGTTCCATTGATCCATGTGTCTATTTTTATGCCAGCACCATGGTGTTTTAGTACTATTGCTGTGTAGTATAATTTGAAATAGGTAGCGTGATGCTTCTAGCTTTGTTCTTTTTGCTTGTTATTGACTTGACTATTCAATATTTTTGTGGTTCCATATAAATTTTAGGAGTATTTTTAATGTATTTATAAAAATTACATTGGAATTTTGATAGGGATTGCACTGACTGTATATTTCTTTGGGTAGTATGGACATTTTAACAATATTAAGTCTTCTTATCCAGAAACATGGGATATATTTCCATTTATTTGTGTCTTTTTCAATTTCCTTCATTAATGTTTTATAGTTTTCAGTGTACAGGTCTTTCACCTCCTTGGTTAAATTTATTTCTAAGTAATGTATTTTATTTTAATATCAATCATAAATGGGATTATTCTCTTGATTTCTTTTTTGGAAAGTTTGTTGTTAGTGTAGTGCAACACTACTGATTTTTGAATGTTGATTTTTTTAAAATCCTGCATCTTTACTGAATTTGTTTATCATTTTTAACAGTGTGTTGGTGGACTCTTTATGGTTTTCTATATATAAGATCATGTTGTCAGCATATAGTGACAGTTTCATTTCTTCCTCTCCTATTTGGATGTCTTTCGTTTCTTTTTCTTGCCTTATTGTTCTGGCAAGAACTTCCAATACTGTGTTGAATAGAAGTGTCAAGAATGGGCATCCTTGCCTTCTTTTGGATCTTGTAGGAAAGGGTTCCAATTTTTCACTGTTGAGTATAATGTTAGGTATGGGCTTATTATATATGGGCTTTATCATGTTGAAGTACATTTCTTTTATATCTAATGTATTGAATTTTTTTAATCATGAAAGGATGTTGAATTTGTCAATGCTTTTTCTGCATCTAATTAGGTGATCATATGACTTTTGTTCCTTACTCTGTTAACGTGATGTACATGTTTATTGATTTGCATATGTTGAAACCTCTTTGCATCCCAGGCATAAATTCAATTTCATCATGGTGGATGATCCTTTTAATGTGTTGTTGAGTTTGATTTGGTATTATTATGTTGAGGAGTTTTACATTTATGTTAATCAATGATATTGGCCTGTAGTTTCATTTTCTTGTGATGTCCTTGTCTGGCTTTGGTATAAGGGTAATGCTGGCCTTGCAGAATGCGTTTGAAAGGGTTCTCTCCTCTAATTTTTTGGAAGAGTTTGAGAAGGGTTGACATTAATTTGTCTTTAAATGTTTGGTAGAGTTAAGCAGTGAAACCATCAGATTTTGGGTTTTTCTTTGATGGGAAACTTTTTATTACTGATTCAATCTCCTTACTTGTTATTGGTCTGTTCAGATTTTCTATTTCTTTGTGATTCAGTCTTGGTAAGTTGTGTGTGTTTAGGAATTTATCCATTTCTTCTAGGTTATCCAATTTTTTGGCATATAGTTGTTCACATTAGTCTCTGATGATCCTTTGTTTTTCTATTTTGTTGGTTGTAATGTCTCTTCTTTCATTTCTGACTTTACTTGAGTGCTTTTTCTTGGTTATTCTACCTCATTTGTTGCTTTTGCTTATTTTTTCACAAACCAACTCTCAGTTTCATTGACCTTTTGTTTCATTGACCTTCATTGCTTTTCTAGTCTCTATTTTACTTATTTGTGCTCTAATTGTTAATATTTCTTTTCATATGCTGATGTTGGGCTTAGTTTTTTTAAATTTTCCTGAGGCATAACATTAAGTGGTTTATTTGTGGTCTTTCTGCTTTTTGATGTAGGAGTTTATTGCTATAAACTTCCCTCTTGGAACTGCTTTTGCTGCATCCTGTAAATTTTAGTGTGTTGTGTTTCCATTTTCATTTGTCTCAAGATATTTTTAAATTTCCCTTCAAATTTTTAAAATTGATTTATTGGTTGTTCAGGAGCATGTTGCTTAATATCCATATATTAATACAGTTTCCTAAATTCCTCCACTTATTGATTTCTAGTTTCATATCATTGTGCTTGGAAAGGTACTTGATATAATTTTAATCATCTTAAATTTGCCAAGACTTTTCTTGTGGGCTAATATATGATCTATCCTGGAGAATGTTCCATGTGCACTTGAGGAAAATGTGTATTTTATCCATGCTAGATGGAACTTTTGTGTATGCCTGTTAGGTCCATTTGGTCCAAAGTGTTCTTCAAGTCCAGTGGTTCCCTATTAATTTTCTGTTTGGGTGGTCTGCTCATTATTGAAAGTGGTGTATTAAAGTCTCCTACTATTATTGTATTGTAATCTATCTCTCCATTCAAATCTTTTAATATTTGCTTTAGATATGTAGGTGCTCCACTTTGGTTGCATATATATTTACCTCTGCTATATCCTCTTGATGAAGCAATTCTTTATAATGTCTTCCTTTTTCTCCTTTTACAGTTTTTGACTTAAGTCTGTTTTGTCTGATGTAAGTATTGTTATCCCTGCTTTCTTTTGGTTTCTATTTGGATGAAAAGTCTTTTTCCATCCCTTCACTTTTAGTTTATGTGTGTCCTTAAAAGCATACAAAAGGTGAGTTTATTGTAGGAAGCATATAGTTGGGTCTTGTTTTTTAAAATTCATTCATTCACTCTACAATTTTTTTTGGAGAATTTAATCTATTTACATTAAAGATAATTATTGCCAGGTAAAGACTTACTACTGCCATTTAAAAGATTGTTTTCTGGTTGTTTTTAGATCTTTGTTTCTTTTTTCCTCTGTTGTTGTCTTGCTTTGTGGTTCGATGGTTTTCTGTAGTAGTATTTTTTGTATCTTTGTGTGTGTGTGTGTGTGTGTGTGTGCGTGTGTGTGCTTTTTGGTTACCATGAGGCTTATGTAGAACATCTTACACTCATAACAGTCTATTTGAAGCTGATAACAATGAAACTTTGATTGCATACAACTCCATGCTTTGACTTTTTCCTATTTTATATTTTTGATGTCTGAATTTATATTTTTATGTAAATGTATATTATCATTTTGTAGTATGTATCCCTTTCCAATTCATTTTAGCTGTAGTTGTTATGAATAGTTTCATTCTTTAACCCTCCTACTAAGGATAAAATTACTTGACATACCACCATTACAGTCCTAGAGCATTCTGAATATTGCTCTGTATTATTTATATCATTGAGTTTTTTGCTTTTGTAAGTTTTATGTTATTAATTAGCAGTTTTTTGTTTAAAGTTTAAAGAACTTTTTTTTAATATCAATTCTTGTAATGCATGCCTAGTGGAGGATGAACCTCCTTAACTTTTGTTTATCTGGGAAAGTTTTTATTTATGCCTCATTTATGAAAAGCAGCTTTTCTGGATGAAGTATTCTTGGTTTGTGATTATTTTCCTTCAGCACATTCAGCACATTGACTCTATCATCCCACTCTTTCTTGGCCTGCAGGTTTTGTGCTGAGAAGTCCACAGATAGTCATATTGTGACTCCTTTGTACGTGATGTATTTCTTATCTCTTGAGGCTCTCAGAATTTTTTCTTTGTCTTTGATTTTTGGTAGTTTAATTATTATGTGTTTTGGTGAACTCCTCTTTGAGTTGAATTTGATCAGAGACCTTTTAACTTCTTGTACCTGGATGCTGGCTTCCTTCCTCAGATTAGGGAAGTTTTCATCCATTATTCCTTTTAATATATTTCCTGGCTCTTTTTCTCTTTCTTCTTCTTATATTACTATTACACATAAATAAGGTCTCTAAATGGTGTCCCACAATTCCTGCCGGCTTTCTTTATTTCTTTCTCTTTTTGCTCCTCTGATTGGGTAATTTCAAATGTTCTGTTTGGAAGCTCACTGATGTTTTCTTTAGCTTGATTGAGCTGGATGTTGAAGCTTTCTATTGAATTTTTAATTTCAGTTATTGTATTCTTCATCTCTAGGATTTCTCTTTGGTTTAAAAAAATGTTTATTTCTTTGTCGAACTCCTTGTTTTGTTTGTGTATTATTTTCCAAGTTTCATTTAATTTTTAATTTGTATATTCTTGAAATTCTTCTTCTTCTTCTTTTTCTTTTTTTAAAGAGGATCATTCTGAATTCTTTTTCTGACGTGTCATAGATCTCCTTTTCTTTAGGGTCTATTGTTGAAGATTTGTTAGTTTCTGTTGGAGGTATCATGATTTCCTGAGTCTTTGTAATTCTTGCATTCTTGCATTGGTGTCTGTGCATTTGCAGAGACAGCTACCTTTTCTGGCTTTTATAGGTGTCCCTTACCAGGAATAGACCTTCACTATTTTTTTTTGTTTATTTTTATTTTTTATTGATCATTCTTGGGTGTTTCTCACAGAGGGGGATTTGGCAGGGTCATAGGACAATAGTGGAGGGAAGGTCAGCAGATAAACAAGTGAACAAAGGTCTCTGGTTTTCCTAGGCAGAGGACCCTGCGGAAGGCCTTCCGCAGTGTTTGTGTCCCTGGGTACTTGAGATTAGGGAGTGGTGACAACTCTTAACGAGCATGCTGCCTTCAAGCATCTGTTTAACAAAGCACATCTTGCACCGCCCTTAATCCATTTAACCCTGAGTGGACACAGCACATGTTTCAGAGAGCACAGGGTTGGGGGTAAGGTCACAGATCAACAGGATCCCAAGGCAGAAGAATTTTTCTTAGTATAGAACAAAATGAAAAGTCTCCCATGTCTACTTCTTTCTACACAGACACGGCAACCATCCGATTTCTCAATCTTTTCCCCACCTTTCCCCCCTTTCTATTCCACAAAGCCGCGATTGTCATCCTGGCCCGTTCTCAATGAGCTGTTGGGCACACCTCCCAGACGGGGTGGTGGCCGGGCAGAGGGGCTCCTCACTTCCCAGTAGGGGCGGCCGGGCAGAGGCGCCCCTCACCTCCCGGAGACGGGGCGGCTGGCCGGGCGGGGGGCTGACCCCCCCACCTCCCTCCCGGACGGGGCGGCTGGCCGGGCGGGGGGCTGACCCCCCACCTCCCTCCCGGATGGGGCGGCTGGCCGGGTGGGGGCTGACCCCCCACCTCCCTCCCGGACGGGGCGGCTGGCTGGGCAGAGGGGCTCCTCACTTCCCAGTAGGGGCGGCTGGGCAGAGGCGCCCCTCACCTCCCGGATGGGGCGGCTGGCCGGGCGGGGGGCTGACCCCCCCCACCTCCCTCCCGGACGGGGCGGCTGGCCGGGCGGGGGGCTGACCCCCCACCTCCCTCCCGGACGGGGCAGCTGGCCGGGCAGAGGGGCTCCTCACTTCCCAGTAGGGGCCGCTGGGCAGAGGCGCCCCTCACCTCCCGGATGGGGCGGCTGGCCAGGCGGGGGGCTGACCCCCCCACCTCCCTCCCGGACGGGGTGGCTGGCCGGGCGGGGGGCTGACCCCCCACCTCCCTCCCGGATGGGGTGGCTGCCAGGCGGAGACGCTCCTCACTTCCCAGACGGGGTGGCCGCCGGGCGGAGAGGCTCCTCACTTCTCAGACGGGGCAGCTGCTGGGCGGAGGGGCTCCTCACTTCTCAGACGGGGCAGTTGCCAGGCAGAGGGTCTCCTCACTTCTCAGACGGGGTGGCCGGGCAGAGACGCTCCTCACCTCCCAGACGGGGTCGCGGCCGGGCAGAGATGCTCCTCACATCCCAGACGGGGCTGCGGGGCAGAGGCGCTCCCCACATCTCAGATGATGGGCGGCCGGGCAGAGACGCTCTTCACTTCCTAGATGGGATGGCGGCTGGAAAGAGGCGCTCCTCACTTCCTAGATGGGATGGTGGCCGGACGGAGACACTCCTCACTTCCCAGACTGGGCAGCCAGGCAGAGGGGCTCCTCACATCCCAGACGATGGGCGGCCAGGCAGAGACGCTCCTCACTTCCCAGACGGGGTGGCGGCCGGGCAGAGGATGCAATCTCGGCACTTTGGGAGGCCAAGGCAGGCGGCTGGGAGGTGGAGGTTGTAGCGAGCTGAGATCACGCCACTGCACTCCAGCCGGGGCACCATTGAGCACTGAGTGAACGAGACTCCGTCTGCAATCCCGGCACCTCGGGAGGCCGAGGCTGGCGGATCACTCGCGGTTAGGAGCTGGAGACCGGCCAGGCCAACACAACGAAACCCCGTCTCCACCAAAAAAAATACGAAAACCAGTCAGGCGTGGCAGCGCGCCCCTGCAATCGCAGGCACTCGGCAGGCTGAGGCAGGAGAATCAGGCAGGGAGGTTGCAGTGAGCCGAGATGGCAGCAGTACAGTCCAGCTTTGGCTCGGCATAAGAGGGAGACTGTGGAAACAGAGGGAGAGGGAGACCGTGGGGAGACGGGAGAGGGAGAGGGAGAGGGAGAGGGAGAGGGAGAGGGAGAGCTGGATTTCAAAGCTTCATCCATGCTGAGCTGCAAGGGGAATGGACAGAACTGGAAACTGGGGCAGACTGGAGTTGCCAGCCTAGGCTGGGCTGTGAGCTCCACGGAGCAGATGCCAGGCCATCCTGCCCCGGCTCTAAGCCCAGCCCCAGGCCAGGGCCGGCACCTGGTAGGCTCTTCATGAGTGCTTCCTGAATGAATGACTATTTAATCTAGCCCATGCTTCTAGGTGAGTCAGCTGGTAATGACCCTGGAAAGGCAGAGCTTGCTTTTAGGTTCTCTAGATGGCTGGGCTGCTGCTTTTGCTCTGAATTTGGGTGGGGCAGCTAGCTGGGCTCTGCTATCTGGCAAGACCACTGGCTGACCTCTGCAATCAGGCTGAGCTACTGGATAGGCATTTCAATTGCCTCTGATCAAGCTGGGCCACAGGGTGTATTCTGTGGCCAGAAGGTACTACTATTTCAGTTCAGCAGTTGGACAGGGTTGCAGGAGGGTTCCTGAGATTAAGTATATCAGGATGAATGGACCAACTGCTATACTCAGTAGAAAGGTACTGTTGAGATTTGTCTCCCTCCCTGGGAGGGATCTGGGGTTGTGTTCTGTGGCAGCAAGGAATGCTGATTAAACTCCTGGGTATGGCAGAACTAGTCCTTACTTTTTTTGTTGAAATTCACTGTCAGGGGGTCTTCTCCCTTCCTGGGTGAGGGGGGATACTCTGGCCAAGTCTGAGGCTGGGCCTGGCAGCTAGCTATCTACGGATTCAAAGCAGGTAGCATTTCCCACCTCTTCTGGGAGTGACCAGTCCAGCTTTGTGGGGGTGGGGGGTGGGGTGGGGAATCTGGTATCTCTGATCTAGCACCACTGCTGGGAGGTACACTGAACTTTCGCCAAAATTTGTGCACTGGTCTCTGTGGGCTTTGCAACTCTTGCTTTGTTTCTACCTGACCCCACGTAGTCTAGCTGTGCAGTTTTTCCCTACCGTTACTGTGAGGTGAGAAGAGAGTGGGCTTTCAGGGAAGCATCTCTGAATCCTAGGGAAGCTGGATGTCCACCACCCAGGTTGTCTTTTCCCACTGTAGGCCCTGGGGAATCCTCTCTGTATGGCACTGTGGTGACTTGGGGAAGGGAGATACACCATTTCTCCTACCCTTTCAATGTGGATTTTTACTCACTTCTATGGAACATGCAGGTGACTTAGGCTTATTTCTATGTTTCAGGATTTTCACCAAGGTGTTCTTATCTGTGCATAGTTGCTAGTTGATCTCTCAGTGGAGGCGTAGGGAAGTGGGGTGGTGGGTGAATCCTGAGAACTGCTATTCTGCTGATGCCACCCTTAGACTTGAATTTTTCTGAGAAACATTAAATCAGTATTTTACATAAAAATATTCATGATTTCAAAATCTTTTTGACACTTTGAACACTGAGGTTAATGCTTAGATGTTCTTGTGAATGTCTTTGCATTAGAAAACAGACATATCTAGAATGTTTCAATAAAATGAGTGCTTAGCTTCCTTGTTACAAGGCATTTTAAATGCAGATAGATGTGATCATGAATACTAATACGTGATAAGAATTTTATTTATTTATTTTTTTGAGACAGGATCTTGCTATGTCACCAAGGTTGGAGTGCAGTGGCATGATCTTGGCTCACTGCAACCTCCGCCCCCTCCCCAGCACACCTCACTTAAGCAATCCTCCTACTTCAGCCTCCCGAGTAGCTGAGACCACAGGTGTGCACCACCACAGCCGGCTATTTTTTTTGCATTTTTAGTAGAGATGGGGTCTCACCATGTTGCCCAGGCTGGTCTTGGATACACGAGCTAAAGCAATCTGCCCACCAGCCTCCCAAAGTGCTGGGATTACGGGTGTGAGCAAGAATTTTAGAATCATTACTGGTTCCTCATATGATTATATTGAATGCAGAAAAAAATAAGAAGTAAAAGATGGAAATTTGCCTTGCTTTAGAGTAACATGGGTTTTGAAACATATTTTTGAAATTGTAACTAGAATGAGGGAGAGGAACCATGTGTTGCCCTGAGCGCTTTACCTATGTGACCTCCTTTCACTTTCCAAAAACCATGCAAATATTCTTATTCTTTTTCTTATTTTACAAATGAGGAATTAAAGGATTTGACAAGCTCCCTTTAAATCAGAGTTTTTTTTTGTTTTTTTTTTTTGTGTGGTTTTTTTTTTTTGAGATGGAGTCTCGCTCTATCACCCAGGCTAGAGTGCAGTGGCATGATCTTGGCTTACTGCAACCTGTGTCTCCCAGGTTCAAGCAATTCCCTGCCTCAGCATTCTGAGTAGCTGGGATTACAGGCACCCACCACCATGACTGGCTAATTTTTTTTTTTTCTATTTTTAGTAGAGAGGGAGTTTCACCATCTTGGCGAGGGTGGTCTTGAACTCCTGACCTTGTGATCCACCCACCTCAGCCTCCCAAAGTGCTGGGAAATCACATAGTTATTGAGCAGGAAAGCTGAGATTTAACCCCTGTCTTAGTTTGTTTGGGCTGCTATAACAAAATACCAAAATCTGGGTAGCTTTTAAATAACAGAAATGTGTTTTCCAGTTCTAGAATCTGGGAAATTAAAGATCAAGGTGCAGGCAGATTTGGGGTCTGGCGATAAACTGCTTCCTGTTTCATAGATGGCACCTTCTTGCTGTGTCCTCACATTGGGGAAGGGGCAAGGCAGCTCTCTGGGCCCTTTTTTATAAGGGCACTAATCCCATTCATGAGGGCTCTGCCCTAAAGCTTAATCACCTCCCAAAGGCCCCACCTCGTAATACCATTACATTGGTGATTATGGTTCAACACATGAATTTTAGGGTGACACAAACATTCGGAGCATAGCAAACCTGGTTTGAGTGACTTTTCAAACTACACTCTTACTACATTGCCTGAGAAATAGAATACACGACCACGTGCAAGAATTCTTCAGATGCAAATTTGTAATAAACACTCAAAATGTATAAGCCATTCCAGGTTCCATGATAAGCCACTTGAAGGCAGATGATGTGGTATAGCATATGCACAAGTACCATTTTTGTGGATCTTGAATTGATGTAGATGATGATTTTCCTTAGAATAGCCACCTCCAAATATCTCCCAACAATGCTCCAAGAAGGAATCAAGAATTTTACTTGTAATATAATCTGAAATTTATTCTAATTTTGAAAAGCTACCAACCCTGGCTAATTTACTATAGTTAAATGAATTAACTTGAATTACTCTTCTACCAGAAAAACATCTAAATGTCCAATGTGGAGTGTTATCTTTATATGGGGGGCTGGCTCACAGGCCAAATCTGGCCTGCTGCCTGTTTTTACATAGCCCATGCACTAATGATTTCTACATGTTTAAATGGCAGAAACAAATCAAAAGAAGAATAATATTTTATGGCATGTTGCTGTGGTCTGAATATTTGTGTTCTTCTAAAATTCATATGTTAAATCTTCATCCCCAGTGTGATAATATTAAGAGGTGGAGTCGTTAGGAGGTGATTAGATCATAAGGGCACAGACCTCATGAATAGAATTTAGCACCATTATAAACGAAGCTTGAGAAAGCTTGCTTGACCCTTTTGCCATGCAAGGACATAGAAGGTGCCATCTGTGAGAATGGGCCCCCACCACACACTCAGTCTGCCAGCACCTTTATCTTGGACTTTCTAGCCTTCAGAACTGTGAGCAATACATTCCTGTTGTTTGTAAATTACCTTGTCTAAGGTATTTTGTTACAGCAGCCTGACCAGACTAAAACACATGTGAATACTATATAAAATCCAAAATTTAGTGTGTATACATAAAGTTTTATTGGAACTCAGCCATACTCATTCATTTGCATGTTGTTTATAGCTGTTTTTTGCACAACAGCTGAGTTGAGTAGTTGTGGCAGAGACCATATGGCTCACAGAACTGAAATATTCACTATTGGGCACTTTACAGAAAAAGTTTGCTGACCTTGTTCTATACTATTTGGTAGCTGAGGATGAGACTTAAAGCTTATGACTTTGTTTCCTAAAAATCTTTAAAATACCTAACACAAATGCAATGTACACTTAAATACTAATATAAATGTATATTTTATTTATGCACACTCTATTTTCTTCTCCACTTTCAAGATAATGTGACTTTTATCTTCCAGAGTCAGCTGTGGTGATAAAGAGATATGTGAGAACCAAATTCATTCAGGGACCGAATTATTCTTTGGAAAGTGGTTTATGTGATGGGAATCATATTAACAGAGATAATAGATAATACCCAGCACTTTTCAGTTTAGAAATCACTTTCACATACCATGTTACATTTAATATTGATATTTTACTCGGTAAGATCATATTATAATTGCTTTCTTTTTTGTTTACGTATGAGTAACTTGAGGCTTTGTAGGATTGACTTGTCCAAGGCCACAAGATCAGTAAGGGTCAGAGACCAGACTCAAACACAGTATTTTTTTTTTTCTTTTCTCGGGATGGGAGAATTTATTGTTAAACGGAAATATGTTTTTACATTTATAAGTAGTAAGAATGTTTTGTTATCAGAAGAATCATGGGAATTTACTTAAAATAACAGTTTTTAGAATTCTAATTTTAAGTTCGTAATTTTTGGAATTGCTTTACTACTTACAGTGTTCTCCAAGGCAATGTTCTTTTCATGCCATAATTGCCAGTATTAATTTTATACCAGCTAAATGTTCAGCATTGAAATAGATTTAGCGAGTAGTAACATATGTGAGTATATACTAAAATTATTTTTACTTATATGAGGAAATATGTTAATTTAGTTATTACAAAATTCACATTTCAGTATTTTTTCTGAATAAAAACCAGTATTATAAATAAATGAAATATATTAAAAAGAAAAAAACCAAGGTCTCAAGGCATATGAGTGAATTAGTGAAGTCCTAACAAATGGTTTATACAGATTTATAGTTTATTCTAAATCCTACGAATTATTTTGTTATATTTATTTATTACATATTTAAAGATGTTAAGTTCAAACAACATAGTTTCAAGCAGCGTGTTAGGTACTGGTGATAGGGAGGTGACCCTGTGCCTTTATTAAGTCCATGGCCTATGGAGAGATTAGCACATAAACAAAAATTATGATATAACTGAGGTGGAATGTGCTCTCATGGAAATAGATATAAAAATCCTATGGGTATTTACTAATTATGGCTGGAAGATAAGAAATTTGTCAAGGGGTTGGTTGAAAATATGATGAAGAGATGGTTCTGTATAAATAGAGAATATAAAAGAAAGGAAGTTTGGGTGATAAAGAGTGAATGAGTGGTCAAAGTTGGGGTGAAGAGAAGTTATGGAGTTTGGTTTGGACACGCTGAACCACCAAGAGTCTAGTAGGGGCTACATAAGAAAACATATGTTGCAACATTTTGTGAAAAGGGCTACTATTAACAGCATGAGGTGCCAAAGGTGGGCAGAAAACAGGTATAGCAGAAAACAGGCTTTGATTTGATCAAGAGGCCAGAAGAATGTCCTGAAGGAAGGGATCTCTAAGCAGAGACTTATAAGCAAAAGTTTTCTGGATAAGGCAGGGTGGTCCAGGACCATCGTGTATGACTGTGTACACACTACACAAGTTCAAGAAATTCTGGCCACATAGACTAAGATGTGAATAGAGTACGCTAAAGTTCTTCAGTGCATAGGCTGTACAACTATGTCCAAGTCGTTCTGCGTGAAAGTGATGATTAGGTGTTCCAGGTAGAGAGGAATGAAAGAGGCAGAAGCTTCCAGGCAGAGTAAGCCAGAAGAGAAGATAAGGGCTCTGAATCAAGAGCATGACATGGTTAAAGAGGCATGAACTGGATCTCAGTTTCTGTTGTGTAGTCAAAGGGTAGGGTTGATGGGTATGGGAAAAATGGCCAGAAATAAAGCTTGAGTGGTAAGTATGGCCTGACATTTGCAATACCAAATAGTTGGAATTGGTTAAGGTATGAGCACTAGAGGTGGAGAGAAAATGAGTATGTTAAATGAATATATTGAAGATAGATTTAGGAAATTAACTTGAGATGCTTACAGGAGATACTAAACAGCGATGCCGAACTTTAAAAAATTAGCAAATACATTGCGCTTATTATGTTTCAGGTCCTGTTCTAGGTACTTTATATACATTAACTCAATCTGAACAACAATTCTATGAAGTAGGTACTATTATTACTCTCCCCCTTCCATTTTACAGATGAGAAAACTGAGGCACAGAGAGAGCTTAGGTGACTTCCCTAAGGCCCCACGGCCCAGGCATTCTATCTCCAGAGTCCATGGTTTTAACTACCACATTCCTCTGTCTTTTAATAGGAGGTGGAACTGATGGGATTAATAAGAAACCAGGCATGAGAAGCCATGCAGATGTAAATTTGGAAATCAACATATTGATAGTTGGAGTCACTGGAGTAGGTAAGGGCCCAGGAAAATTGTGAGGTGAGAAGAAGCCAAAGATAAGTTCCTGGGGGATGCCACCATTCCAAGGGCAAGCAGATCAGGAGGAGCCAGCTTAAAAGGCTAAGAAGATGCTACTGGAGAGAAGGAGAACACTCAGAGAGAGTGGGCTTCACAAGCCGAGGGAGGAGTTTCACAAACAAGGACAGTGGACAGTGTCAAGGCTAGCAGAAGGTCTGCCGAAGAAGCCACAAGCCTTTACTGGCTTTAGTAATTAAAGGGTCATGAGTGAGCTCGGTAGAAGCAATTTAATTTAATTTAATTTAATTTTTTTTGAGATGAAGTCTCACTCTGTTGCCCAGGCTGGAGTGCAGTGGCACGATCTTGGCTCACTGTAACCTCTGCCTCCCAAGTTCAAGTGATTCTCCTGCCTCAGCCTCCCACGTAGGTGGGATTACAGGCACGTGCCACCACGTCCGGCTAATTTTTGTATTTTTAGTAGAGATGGGGTTTCACCAAGAAGCAATTTTGAAGAATGATGGTGCCAATGTCAGCATGATGGTGGTCTAGGACCTTTCTACTGTTGTCCCTCCACAGAAACATCTATTTTGACAGCTACCCACAGAGGGGAGTACCACTGGGGGAATCTGGGAGTCCAGTAGAGAAGTTCCAGCACATGACTGGAGCAAAAAATCTGAGAATAGATAGATGATTGAAGAGGATAAGAAGAACAGCTTCACTTTATCCACATCACTCCTTCCCCTTGGCCCTCGATTTCTCCAGTGGGAGAAAGTGAGAGTGCAGTGAGTGACCCCTGGCTCCCCCAGCTATGTGGGACCTTGCCCCCAAGAGACCTGCTTCCTTCTCACCCCACCCAGAATACTGGGGTGATTGGCATGGCTGAGTGGTTGGGAGAGGTTGGGAGGAGGAAGAGAGGCTGCAAACCTTGCTAACTGCCCTACAAACTCCCTCAGGAAGCCTGACTACAGCCACCCAGGAGGCCTTGCCTGTGTACCCCACCTCCAGCTGGCCCACAAGTCCCCCAAACACTCTGCATGCTTCTTCCCCCTACTCCAGTCCGGTTCTCTGAGCATACCCTCATGGAAAGCAAGTACATGTGTCCTGGCTGACAACTGGCTTGACCCTGCAGGACTGGAAGAAGGCACACAAACTCGAGCATTTCAGGGTATTGTCCTAGGGAAGAAAAATGGGAGGCTCTCAGGACCTGGCCTGGCTTTGTGGGTTTGAGGGAAGGCATATGATCTTTAAAATGCCCCTTGCTCCTCCTAAGAGGGAACAAGAGATGTGGAGTGGGGACATCCATACAGAAACAACCCATGTGTCTGTTGACCAAAGAATGGACAAAATGTTATATATACATTGTGTGTGTGTGTGTGTGTGTGTGTGTGTGTTTGTGTGTATGAATATTACTTAGTCTTAAAAAAGATGAAAATCTTGCCATTTGTGACAACATAGACGAACCTGAAGGATGTTCTGCTTAAGGTTGAAATAAACCAGGCATAGAAAGACAAATACTGCAAGATCTCACGTATACGTGGAATCTAAAGAAGTTGAGCTTGTAGAAACAGAGAGTAGAAGGGTAGTTACCTGTGTTCAGGGGGTGGGGAGAATAAGGAGATGTTGGTCAAGTGGTACAAACATGCAGTTATAAGATGAATGAGTTCTGGAGAACTATGGTATGGCAAGGTGACTATAGTTAATAATAATGTATTTTATACTTGAAATTTGCCAGACATCTAACACTTAGATTTTAATATACTCACCACACACACATATAAAAGGTAACTATGTGGGGTGATGGATATGTTAATTAGGTTGATTGTAGTAATCATCATTTCACAATGTATATGTACATCAAAACATCATGTTGTACACTCTAAGGTGCATACAAATATATGCGTTTTTAATTTGTCAATTATACCTCCATGTGGCTGGGGAAAAAAGAACGATGGGGGCAGAGGCTAGCACATACCAGGCTGAAAAATGAACAGAAATTAGAATCATGGAGACAGCTAAGATAGATGCTGGTGAAAGTGGAAAAGAGGGCATTAGTTAGAGGAAGAAGTTCAGTGCAGGGGGTGGAGAAACCTGTCTGTCTGTCTGTCTGTCTATCTATCTATCTATCTATCTATCTATCTATCTATCTATCTATCTATCTATCTGTCTATCCTATCTATCTATCTGTCTATCTATCTGTCATCTCTGGACCCTAAGGCAGCATGCCTCCAGAGACTCTGCATAAGTAGGTGGGTTACTTTTGACATCTGCCATATACTACTTCTCCAAAAGAATCAGAGTCCCTCTTCTGGAAGCACTGGATAGGAATGAAGGATCTTTCTGCTTTCACTGCTTTCAGCCCGCCCACCTCAGGCATGCTTGAGCACGAGGGTGGTGTCTAGAAAACCTCAGGAGTTGCTCAGTGTGTTCCTTCTTCCTTTCACTCCTGAAGATCCACCTAGAAGAGCAGCTCCTGTCTCAGTTCCTTCTGCAGGTGTCTCCTTTACCATTGAGTTCGATACAGACAGTTGATTCTGGAACCAACCTGGAAACCATGTAGGATACAGTGTTTCTGGGCCCTTGGCACTATCTGCCCTACACATGGTCCGCATGGTACTGCTGGTGAGGCTCACAGCCCTCCTCACACAGAAAGTGATGAGTCATTTTGAGTACATTTTTAGGGATGTTTAGAGACTGATGGGAAAAACCCAGTAGGAGGGAAATGTTTTGTCTTCATGATTATTGGGTTCATTTCCAGGGCTTCCTCAAATCCTTATATTTTTTCTCTTGCTCAAAAAATTTGTATAGCTGACTCACGATCTTTCAGACAATGGAAAAATAAAGCATGATTAGAAGAGTTATGACTTTTCTTAAACTCTATCCTTCTTATCTCTGTCTGCCTGCCTATCTTTCTCACATTAAATTATTGGGAACTATAAACTTATTTTTCCCACAAACAGTAGCTGATTTTCTGTTTTTAGACAAATGTTTATGTTCCACAGATTTTAACTGTTGACATGAGAAGAAAAGAGATTTATAAAATTAGAGCCTGTGATTTTGTCTAGGAAGTTTATATTTAAGTTTAAAGTTATCTCAGAAGTCTTTTATAGTGACAATCAAAAAGAGTTCCTTTCATGGCTGTGAAAGTGTTCAATTATATAGTATCAGTACATACTGATGTACTGTAGTATCAGTATCATAGATATTTGTAAAACATATCAAGTATGTAGTATCAGTATCATAGATATTTGTAAAACATATCAAGTATGTAGTATCAGTATCATAGATATTTGTAAAACATATCAAGTATGTAGTATCAGTATCATAGATATTTGTAAAACATATCAAGTATGTAGTATCAGTATCATAGATATTTGTAAAACATATCAAGTATGTAGTATCAGTATCATAGATATTTGTAAAACATATCAAGTATGTAGTACCAGTATCATAGATATTTGTAAAACATATCAAGTATGTAGTATCAGTATCATAGATATTTGTAAAACATATCAAGTATGTAGTATCAGTATCATAGATACTTGTAAAACATATCTATGAAGGGGAATTTAATTAGGAAAACTGTCTAAAGTAAGGAACTGTTTACCCTTTCATTTATTTATTTATGTATTAATTCTGTCTTGCATCTCTTTATTGCCAGGGCTTAGTACAGTGCTTGTATATAGTATCTCTTAATAAATATTATTATTGTTTTAGGTATTAGCTCTATTGATATTCTGTTCAAATTCATTCATTTCTGCCTTTGTCTTTCTTAATTCCTTTATTTACCTTATTTTTGACTTATTTTGTTATTCTTTTAAAAAATTTTGAGATGCATGTCTTAATTATTTTTATGTTTTAATGATATAAGTATTTTAAGAATTTTCTTCTGAGTATTGCTTTTGTTTTATTCTATAGGGTCTGATACTGTTTTCATTAATAGTGTTTTCTAGCAAATTTATAGGCTTTCTTTACATTTTCCATTTGACTTAAAAGATCAGGAGTTTTCATTTTTTGAATTTGTAATTAATTTCCAGTTTTAATTCATTATTATCAGAATAAGTTATCTGTATTACTTCTTTTTTTCTTTCTTTTTTTTTTTTTGAACTGGAGTCTTGCTCTTGTCACCCAGGCTGGAGTGCAATGGCACGATCTCGGCTCACTGCAACCTCCGCCTCCCAGGTTCAAGTGATTCTCCTGCCTCAGCCTCCTGAGTAGCTAGGATTACAGGCACCCACCATCTGGCTAATTTTTTATATTTTTAGTAGAGATGGGGTTTTGCCATGCTGGCCAGGCTGATCTTGAACTCCTGACCTCGTGATCCACCCGCTTCAGCCTCCCAAAGTGCTGAGATTACAGGCTTGAGCCACTGTGCCCGGCCTCTTTTAAGGAATTTATTAAGGTTTTCTTTGTGAACTAATATGTATTCAATTTTCATGAGTGTTCCATGTACACTTGAAGGTAAGTTGTATTCTCTATTTTCAGATAAAATCTTGGTATATGTCACTCAGCTCTGCATTGTAGATTATGTTCTTTAGGTAGTTTATGTCATTATTTTTAGTTCAAATTGATCTATCTTAGACCAAGAGAGGTAAGTCTATATCTCCTGTTATTAGTATCTCAACATATCCTTTTTCTGTAAGTTCTGGTTCATGAAAATTGCTACTCTGTTTTTTTTTTGTGTATAAATATTGAGAAAAAGGAGCAGCCCCCAATAGGTGTCAATTGGTACCTGGCATGACTCTTACAGCTAGCCCATGATGTTCTGCTGTTGAACTTACACAATTTTACAATATCAACATGAGACAGAGGTGCCCTGTGACAACAATGGAGTTGGACAAAACAAGACCACTCCATAATCATGTGTGAACAAAGACAAAAATAAGAACACTGTGCAAATCAGAAAAATGACCACGCATCCCCCTCTCCCAGCTAACATGAACAACTGTTGCTTTGTTACCAATGATAGCTTCAGCTGTTCTTGGTCTTCCTGATTTGTAGATAAATATCACTAAGATACCTGGTTATAGAATTGTTGCCACTTTCTGACATCACCTGATTAACAGCAAAACCACAGGTCCTTGAACCCTATAACAGACCCCAATCCTATAACAAGCCCTGCCTAACTTACTGAGACATTCTGTAGTTCCCTATGAAGTATGATCTCTCTTCTTACAAAAGTATCAATAAACTCTAAATATGGGCATCAAACATTTATAGCTGTTTTGTTTTCATTGTGAATCGTACCCTTAGCAATATAGTGCCATTTTTTGGTCTCTTGATGGTTGGCCTGAATTCTACCTTGTTTAATATTATGATCACAACTCCTATTATTTTACTTTGTGTTTTTCTTTTTTTAAAAATGTATTTAAGCTTTTAAAATTACGTAGTTTAGACATGTGTTTTGTATAAAGTATAGCATTGAATTCTGTTTTGTGACTTATCAGAAGATCTTTTCCTTTTAATAGATTACTTAAGCTTATATACATACATTGATAGAAATGTATGTTTGGTCTTAGTTCTGTCATTTTGTGTTATGTTTTCTGTGTTTCTATATACAAGTTTAAAAAATGTATACTATACAAAACTTTTTTTTTCTGACTTTTTCAATTGCAGTCATTTCCCTTTGATATTTAGGAAGTTTTAATTTTTAATCCAAAGATTACCTTTACCTTATACTCTCATTCCCCTCTTATTTAAAACAATAATTATTCTCACATGAGCAATGATAATATTACTTTCTGTTCTTTTCCCCAGCTCCTCAATTCACCGTCTAATTTTAATTGATCCAATTTATCTTTGGTTTGCTAGTTTGTACTCAAGAGGTTTCTTAATGAAACTTTCATGTGAACAGTATTTCCCAAACTCTTGAATTTTCAAAACTATAGTCAATCTCCATTGTTCGTGGATTCCAACATAAATGTTAGAATTTTCTGACTTGCTAAAATTCATTTGTTTTCCGTAAATCTGTACTTTTGGGATCACCTTAAGGATGTGCGCAGAGTGGTAAAAAATTTGAGTTTCCCAACCTGCTTAATGTGTACATTCTCAGCTGAGACCTGTCTTCTTTTTTCAGCTCTCATACTGTGGACAACTGTCCTCTGAATGGCCAATTTGTTGCTATGTTTTTTGCATTTTTGTGCTTTTGTTGGTGATTTCACTTTTAAGATGGCCCTCAAGATAGTGCTGAAGTGCTGTTGAGTATTCCTAGTGGCAAGAAGGCTATAATGTGCCTTCTGGAGAAAATAGATGTTTTAGATAAGCTTTGTTTAGGCATAAATTATAGTGCTGTTGATTGAGTTAAATGATAATGCATCAACAATATATATTAAATAAGGCATCTTTAAACAGAAGCCCACATAAAACAAGGCTATATTGATGAAAATGTTATGACCATTGGCTTGCAGGAACCTAACCCTAGATTTCCCCTAGGATCAATTATTCAGTATATGCTAATTCAGTATCTGCAAAGACTTTGTAGAATATAACTATCACAAATAATAACTGACTGTAGTTGTCTGTAGCCTTTAAACTTTAAGAGGAGTTGAGCTGGATATAAAATCCTTGTCTTATACCCTTTTCTCATGAGTATCTTGTAGGTGTTGCTGTCATGTTTTCTGTGGCCTTTGTTGAGTGTTGTTGTCAATAAACCTCAACTAACCTGATTTCTTTCTCCTATTAGTGACTTGTTATTTTTACCTGGTTGCCCAAAGAATTCTTTTTCTTATTTTGAAGTTCGAATAATTTTACTAGGATAGTCTCAGGGTTGGCCATTCTGGGTTGGTTTTCCCTGATATTCAATAAATCTATATTTTTTCTATATGCAGATTCAACTCAGTCTGCTTGCTTCATTCCCTCCTCTCTTCCCTCCATGCTCCTCTTTCTTTCCTTAGTTTCTTCTTTTCTGTCTTTATTTAATTTCAGGAAAGGTTTTTTTGTTGAAATAGCTTGAGTGCTTATTAAGTTCCATGAGTTGGTTTTTATCATCAGCAACTATTTATACTTGTGTATACAACCATATATGTGTGTGTGTGTACGTGTGTGTATGTATGTATATATATATATAAGGTTAAGAAAAAGTATAAGAATACATATACATATATAGAAGGAATATACATATATTCCTTTCAGTCCTTTTTTTCCTGTATAATTTTTAAATTATATATATGTATGGGCCTTTTCCTTCCTATTTCTATTTTATTTTGCATTTTGTTGGATTTTATTTCTGTTTTCTGTATCCTTACTGTGGTTTTCTATGGTATCTATTATTCTTAGTATTTCCTATAGTTTAGTCGTCATTTTGGACCTGGCTTTGTATTTTTCTTCTGTTTCTTTCATACGTTCCGTCAGTTCTTGTTTCATGCCCTCCTGTTATCTACTGTCATGTCTTCTTGTGTAGCCATCTCTTCTCTATGTTTTGATATTTATCCTTATAGTTTCAATTGATGCATAAAGGTTTAAAATTCTCAGTTGGAATATTAGGTTGCACTTTTTATCTGCCTTCTGTCAATGATTTTTCTGGTGTTTTCATTGTCTTTAAGAAGGCTATATTGTTCTTTTTCATTTTTAAAATTTTCTCTGTAGTATCTTTATGAGAATGTAGGGCACATTTCTTTTTTGTTACTCATATTTTAGTGATGTTTAACAAGAGATTACTATGGAGGGGTGAGGCCAGGATAGATTTGTAGGCTTCTTAGCTCAAGGGCTTCCTCTTCTGATGTTGTGGCAAAAGACTTGACATTTGGCCCTCCTGTGTGATCTCATTTTTATGTATTTCTCTTACTGGCCTTGGGTTCATTAAGACCATAACCAACAAGAGATAGAATCCTAACCTTCCAAAGCTACCCCAGCTTTTAAAAAATGTACTATATTTGCTGGCTGTTTCTGAGGTCATTTCCCATTAGGCCTTCTCTGTTCTCCCTGTTCCTCACTTCCCATTCCACTGCATCTTTGGTACCAATTATTTGCAATGTGAAGTTTTATGATTTCTTTCTCTTACTTTGTAGGTTTATTTTTTACTTTCTTTGCTGCTCTTTGTGATGAGAAGATTCAGAAATAAAATGCTGCTGTGTTTCTAGTTGAATCAGAACTCTTCAGAGTTGTTTATTCATCAAAATTAGAATCAATATAAATGTAGTACTTTTTAGTCACCAAACATGATTTCCGTTTCCCAGGTCTGCAAATTTATTCCAAGGTCACAAATGAGGTGGGGAATAACAATGTTAACATGTACAGGGAGTTAATGTGTACATGATTTTTGTTTGTTTGTTTGTTCTTTTCCTTTTATTGTGATCAAATTTAAGTTTATATCAGTTTTAAATAACTTGTTGTAACTACAGGATTTTTTTTGGTAAGCCTCAAGGTAAGTGCAAAGCAAAAACCTATGATAGATATAACAAGAATAAAAAGCAATGGATTCAAACATACTATGGGAGAAAAATCATGTAACCACAAAGGAAGACAGTAAGAAAAGAAGAAAGGAGTTACAAAACACATAGAAAACAAGTAACAAAATAGCAGTAATAAGTCCATACCTATCAATAATATTGAGTGTAAATAGATCACACCCTATAACTAAAAGATGTAGAATGGCTGAACAGATTAAAAAGCAAGACCCAACTATATTCTGCCTACAAGAAACAGATTTCACATGTAAGGACACACACAGACAGAAAATGAAGGGATGGAAAAAGATACTCCGTGCAAATGAAAATAAAAAAGAGCAGATAATTGCTATACTTATATCAGATAAAGTAGACTTTAAATCAAAAACTGTAAAAAGAGACATAGAGTTCATTATATAACAACAAATGGGTCAATTCAGCAAGAGAACATAACAATGGTGAATATATATACACACAACACCAGAACATCCAACTATATAAAGCAAATATTAATAGATCTAAAGGGAGGGATAGACTGCAAAACAATAATAGTAGGAGACTTCAACACTTCACTTTTGGCAATAGACAGATAATCCAGGCAGAAAATCAACAAATATTGGAGTTAAACTATACTCTAGTTCAAATGAACCTAATAGACATCTAAAAAGCATTTCATCCAACTGCTGCAGAATACACATTCTTCATATTAGAAAATGAAACATTCCACAGGCTAAACCATATCTTAGACCACAAAACAAGTTTCAACAAATTACAAAAGTAGAAATCATACTCAGTATCTTTTCTGATCACAGTGGAATAAAACTAGAAATCAATAACAAGAGGAACTTTGGAAACTGTACAGATACACAGAAATTAAACATGTTCCCAAATGACTAATGGGCCAACGAAGAAATTAAGAAGAAAATTAAAAAACTATCCTGAGACAAATGAAAATGGAAACACAACATATGAGAATCATGTGGAATACAACAAAAGCAGTACTAAGAGGGAAATTTATAGACATAAATTCCTCCATCAAAAAATAGAAAGACTTCAACCTTATGATGCACCTTAGGGAACTAGAAAAACAGAAATCAAACCCAAAATTAGTAGAAGGAAAAGAAATAAGATCAGAGCAGAAATAAATAGACAGTAAAAACAACATAAAAGATAAACAATGAAAAGTTGGTTTTTGAAAAAGATAATTGACAAACCTTTAGCTAGACTAAGAAAAAAGAGAAGATTCAAACAAATAAAATGAGAGATGAAAAAGGGAACATTACAATGGACACTGCAGAAGTAAAAAGGATCAGTAGAGACTCCTATGTACAACTGTACACCAATAAATTGGAAAACACAGAAGAAATGGATATGTTCCTTAGCACATACAACCTACTAAGATTGAGCCATGAAGAAATAGAAAACCCGAACAGACCAGTAAGGAGTAGTGATATCAAAGCAGTGATAAAAAAAGTCACTTATCAAAGAAAAACCCAGGATCTGATGTCTTCACTGTTGAATTCTACCGCTTACTAAAAGAACTGATATCAGTTCTACTCAAACTATTTCAAAAAATGGAAGAGGAGGGAAAACTTCTAAACTCGGCTTAGGAGGACACCCTTATACCAAAACTAGATAGGGAAACACACACACACACAAACAAACAAAAACCAAAAACAAACAAAAAAAGAAAACAACAGGCCAATATCCCTGACAAACATAGATACAAAAATCTTCAACAAAATACTAGCAGATCGGCTTCAGCAAACATTAAAATGTCAAGAAACAACAGATGCTGGCAAGTTTGCAGAGAAAAAGGAACACTTTTACACTGTTGGTGGAAAAGTAAATTAGTTCAACCATTGTGGAAGACAGTGTGGTGATTCCTCAAAGATCTAGAAACAGAAATATCATTTGACCCAGCAATACCATTACTGGGTATATACCCAAAGGAATATAAATCATTCTATTATGAAGATACATGCACATATATGTTCATTGTAACATTATTCACAATAGCAGAGACATGGAATCAACCCAAATGCCCATCAACAATACACTGGATAAAGTAAATGTACATATACACCATGGAATACTATGCAGCCATAAAAAGGAATGAGATCATGTCCTTTGCAGGAACATGTGTGGGAAGCCATTATCCTCAGCTAACTAACACAGGAACAGAAAACCAAATGCCATATGTTCTCACTTCTGTGGGAGCTGAATGATGAGAACACATGGACACAGTGGAAAGAACAATGCACACTGAGTCCTGTCAGGGTTGGGGAGGGAGAGCATCAGGAAGAGTAGCTAATGCATGCTGGGCTTAATACCTAGGTGATGGGTTGATATGTGTAGCAAACCACTGTGGCATACATTTACCTATGTAACAAAACTGCACATCCTTCACATGTACCTTGGAAATTAAAATAAAAGTTGAAGGAAAAAAAGATCATTCACCATAATCAGGTGGGATTCATCCCAGAGATGCAAGGATGGCTTAACATATGCAAATTAATAAATGTGATTCACCACATCAACATAATCAAGGACAAAAAACATATGATCATTTCAATAGATGCTTTAAAAGCATTTGATACAATTCAACATTTTTTTATGACAAAAACTCTCAACAAATTGGATAGAGAAGGAATATACCTCAGCACAATAAAGGCCATATATGACAGACCTACAGCTAACATCATACTGAATGGGGAAAAATGAAAAGCCTTTCCGCTAAGACCTGGAACAAGATAAGGATGCCCACTGGAAGTGCTAGCCAGCACAATTACGCAAGAGAAAGAAACAATGGGTTTCCAAATCAGGAAAGAGGAAGTCAAATAATCCTTGTTTGGACACAAAATGATCTTATATTTAGAAAAACCTAAAGAATCCATAAAAAAATCCTTAGAATGAATAAATAAATCCAGTAAATTTGTAGGATACAAAAATCAGTAGCATTTCAATATGCTAACAGTGATCAATTTGCAAAATAAATCAAGAAAACAATCTCATTTACAACAGCTGTAAAAATACTTAGAAATAAATTTAACCAAAGAAGTGAAAAATATCTGCAAGAAAAACTATGAGACACTAATAAAAGAAATTGAAGAGGACACATACAAAATAATGGAAAGATATTTCATGGTCATTGATTGGAAGAATTAATATTGTTGAAGTGTCTGAACTACCCACAGGGATCTACAAATTCTGTGCAATCACCACAGAAACACCAATGACATTCTTCACAGAAATAGAAAAACCAATCCTAAAATTTGTATGTAAACACAAAAGACCTCTAATAGCTAAAGCAATTTTGAACACAAAGAACAAAGCGGAGGCATCACGTTATCCTATTTCAAATTATATTATACTACAAAGCTATAGTAACAAAAATAGCATAGTACTGGCATAAAAACAGATACACAGGCCAATGGAACAGAATAGAGGACCCAGAAATAAATCCACACACTTCCAGCCAGCTCCTTTTCAATAAAGTTTCCAAGAACATACATTGAGGAAAGGTCAGTCTCTTTAATAAGCGGTGCTGGGAAAACTGGATATCTATATGCAAAAGAGTGAAACTAGATCCTTCTCTCACTATATAAAAAAACAACTCCCAATAGATTGAAGACTAAAATGTAAGACTTGAAACTATAAAACTACTAAAAGAAAACAATGGTAAAACACTACAGGACATTGGTCTGGGCAAAAATTTTTTTGTATAAGACCTCAAAAGCACAGGGAAAAAAAGTAAAAATAGACAAATGGGATTACATCAAGCTAAAAAGTTACTGCACAGCAAAAGAACCAATAAAGCAAAGAGACAACCCACAGAATGGGAGAAAATATTTGCAAACTCTCCATCCCATGGAAGATTAATAATCAGAAAATATAAGGAACTCAAACAACCCAACACCAAAAAACCAAATGTTTTGATTTTTAAAATGGGCTATAGACCCAAATAGACATTTCTCAAAAGAAGGCATACAAATGGCCAAAAGATATATAAAAAAACTGTTCAACACCACTAATCATCAGGGAAATCCCAATCAGAACCATACTGAGATATAATCTTACCCCAGGTAGAATGGCTATTATCAAATTACAAAAAATAAAAAATGCTTGTGAGGATGTGGAAAAAAGGAAACTCATACGCTATTGGTGGGAATGTAAATTAGTACAGCCATTATGGAGAACAATATGGAGGTTTCTCAAAAAACTGAAAATAGAACTGCCATATGAACCAGCAATCCCACTACTGGACATGTATACAAAGGAAAGAAAATCTGTATTTTGAGGAACTATCTGCACTCCCATGTTTATTGCTACACTATTTACAATAGCCAAGATGTGGAATAAGCCTAAAAGTCCATCAAGCGATGAATGAATAATGAAAATGTGGTATGTATACAGAATGGAATACTATTCAGCCATAAAAAAGAATGAAATCTGTCATTCACAGCAACATAGATCAGCTTGGAGGACATTATGTTAAGTGAAGTAAGCCAGACATAAAATGACAAATAGCACATGTTCTCACTCATGTGGTAGCTAAAAACATTGATCTCATAGAAGCAGAGAGTAGAATAGTGGTTACTAGATGCTGGGAAGGACATGAGGATTGAGGGATAGAAAGACCTTGGTTAATGGATACAAAATTCTAATTAGGAGGAATACATTCTAATGTTTTATAGCACTACAGGGTGACTATAGTTAATAATGATTTATTGTATATTTTCCAATTGCTAGAAGAAAAGAATTTGAATGTTCCCAACACAAAGAAATGATAAACGTTTGAGGTGTACTAATTACTCTAATTTGATCAGTATGCATTGTATATGTATATCAAAATATCACGGTCCATTAGAGGATGGCCAAATAGGAACAGCTCCAGTCTACAGCTCCCAGCATGAGTGACACAGAAGATGGGTGATTTCTGCATTTCCAAGTGAGGTACTGGGTTCATCTCACTGGGGCTCGTCAGACAGTGGAGGCAGGACAGTGGGTGCAGCCCACCAAGTGTGAGCCGAAGCAGGGCAAAGCATCGCTTCACCCAGGAAGTGCAAAGGGTCAGGGAATTCCCTTTCCTAGCCAAGAGAAGGGGTGACAGATGGCACCTGGAAAATCGTGTCACTCCCATCCTAATACTGCACTTTTCCAAAAGTCTTAGCAAATGGCACACCAGGAGATTATATCCCATGCCTGGCTTGGAGGGTCCCACGCCCACGGAGCCTCGTTTATTGCTAGCACAGCACTCTGAGATCGAACTGCAAGGCAGCAGCGAGGCTGGGGGAGGGGCGCCCGCCATTGCTGAGGCTTGAGTAGGTAAACAAAGTGGCCCAGAATCTCGACCTGGGTGGAGCCCACCGCAGCTCAAGGAAGCCTGCCTGCCTCTGTAGACTCCACCTCTGGGGGCAGGGCATAGCCAAACAAAGGGCAGCAGAAACCTCTGCAGACTTAAATGTCCCTGTCTGACAGCTTTGAAGAGAGTAGTGGTTCTCCCAGCATGGAGTTTGTGATCTGAGAATGGACAGACTGCCTCCTCAAGTGGGTCCCTGACCCCCGAGTAGCCTAACTGGGAGGCACCTCCCAGTAGGGGCAGACTGACACCTCACACGGCCGGGTACCCCTCTGAGATGAAGCTTCCAGAGGAATGATCAGGCAGCAACATTTGCTGTTCAGCAATATCTGCTATTCTGCAGCCTCCGCTGCTGATACCCAGGCAAACATGGTCTGGAGTGGACCTCCAGCAAACTCCAACAGACCTGCAGCTGAGGGTCCTGACTGTTAGAAGGAAAACTAACAAACAGAAAGGACATCCACACCAAAACCCCATCTGTACGTCACCATCATTAAAGGCCAAAGGTAGATAAAACCACAAAGATGGGGAAAAAACAGAGCAGAAAAGCTGAAAATTCTAAAAATCAGAGCTCCTTTCCCCCTCCAAAGGAACGCGGCTCCTCGCCAGCAATGGAACAAAGCTGGATGGAGAACGACTTTGACGAGTTGAGAGAAGAAGGCTTCAGACGATCAAACTTCTCCGAGCTAAAGGAGGAAGTTCGAACCCAATGCAAAGAAGCTAAAAACCTTGAAAAAAGATTAGATGAATGGTTAACTAGAATAACCAGTGTAGAGAAGTCCTTAAATGACCTGATGAGCTGAAAACCATGGCACGAGAACTATGTGATGAATGCACAAGCTTCAGTAGCTGATTCGATCAACTGGAAGAAAGGGTATCAGTGATTGAAGATCAAATGAGTGAAATGAAGCGAGAAGAGAAGTTTGGAGAAAAAAGAGTAAAAAGAAATGAACAAAGCCTCCAAGAAATATGGGACTGTGTGAAAAGACCAAATCTACGTCTGATTGGTGTACCTGAAAGTGATAGGGAGAATGGAACCAAGTTGGAAAACACTCGGCAGGATATTATCCAGGAGAACTTCCCCAATCTAGCAAGGCAGGCCAACATTCAAATTCAGGAAATACAGAGAACACCAAAAAGATACTCCTCGAGAAGAGCAACTCCAAGACACATAATTGTCAGATTCACCAAAGTTGAAATGAAGGAAAAAATATTAAGGGCAGCCAAAGAGAAAGGTCAGGTTACCCACAGAAGGAAGCCCATCAGACTAACAGCAGATCTCTGGGCAGAAACTCTACAAGCCAGAAGAGAGTGGGGGCCAACATTCAACATTCTTAAAGAAAAGAGTTTTCAACCCAGAATTTAATATTCAGCCAAACTAAGCTTCATAAGCGAAGGAGAAATAAAATCCTTTACAGACAAGCAAATGCTGAGAGATTTTGTCACCACTAAGCCTGCCCTACAAGAGCTCCTGAAGGAAGCACTAAACATGGAAAGAAACAACTGGTACCAGCCACTGCAAAAACATGCCAAATTGTAAAGACCGTCGATGGTAGAAAGAAACTGCATCAACTAATGAGCAAAGTAACCAGCTAACATCATAATGACAGGATCAAATTCACACATAACAATATTAACCTTAAATGTAAATGGGCTAAATGCTCCAATTAAAAGACACAGACTGGCAAATTGGATAAAGAGTCAAGACCCAACAGTGTGCTGTATTCAGGAGAGCCATCTCACGTGCAGACACACACATAGGATCAAACTAAAGGGATGGAGGAAGATCTGCCAAGCAAATGGAAAACAAAAAAAGGCAGGGGTTGCAATCCTAGTCTCTGATAAAACAGACTTTAAACCAACAAAGATCAAAAGATACAAAGAAGGCCACTACATAATGGTAAAGGAATCAATTCAACAAGAAGAGCTAACTATCTTAAATATATATGCACCCAATACAGGAGCACCCAGATTCATAAAGCAAGTCCTTAGAGATCTACAAAGAGACTTAGACTCCCACACAATAATAATGGGAGACTTTAACACCCCACTGTCAACATTAGACGGATCAACAAGACAGAAAGTTAACAAGGATATCCAGGAATTGAACTCAGCTCTGCACCAAGTGGACCTAATAGACATCCACAGAACTCTCCACCCCAAATCAACAGAATATACATTCTTCTCAGCACCACATCACACTTATTCCAAGATTGGCCACATAGTTGGAAGTAAAGCACTCCTCAGCAAATGTAAAAAAACAGAAATTATAACAAACTGTCTCTCAGACCACAGTGCAATCAAACTAGAACTTAGGATTAAGAAACTCACTCAAAACCGCTCAACTACGTGGAAACTGAACAACCTGCTCCTGAATGAATACTGTGTACATAACAAAATGAAGGCAGAAATAAAGATGTTCTTTGAAACCAATGAGAACAAAGACACAACATACTAGAATCTCTGGAACACATTTAAACGAGTGAGTAGACGGAAATTTATAGCACTAAATGCCCACAAGAGAAAGCAGGAAAGATCTAAAATTGACACCCTAATATCACAATTAAAAGAAGTAGAGAAGCAAGACAAACACATTCAAAAGCTAGCAGAAGTCAAGAAATAACTAAGATCAGAGAAGAACTGAACGAGATAGAGACACAAAAAACCCTTCAAAAAATCAATGAATCCAGGAGCTGGTTTTTTGAAAAGATCAACAAAATTGATAGACCACCAGCAAGACTAATAAAGAAGAAAAGAGAGAAGAATCAAATAGATGCAATAAAAAATGATAAAGGGGATATCACCATCAATCCCACAGAAATACAGACTACCATCAGAGAATACTGTAAACACCTCTACGCAAATAAACTAGAAAATCTCGAAGAAATGGATAAATTCCTGACACATACACCCTCCCAAGACTAAATCAGGGAGAAGTTGAATCCCTGAATAGACAAATAACAGGCTCTGAAATTGAGGCAATAATTAATAGCTTACCAACCAAAAAAAGTCCAGGACCAGATGGATTCACAGCCGAATTCTACCAGAGGTACAAGGAGGTGCTGGTACCATTCCTTCTGAACTATTGCAATCAATAGGAAAAGAGGGAATCCTCCCTAACTCATTTTATGAGGCCAGCATCATCCTGATACCAAAGCCTGGCAGAGACACAACAAAAAAAGAGAATTTTAGACCAATATCCCTGATGAACATTGATACAAAAATTCTGAATAAAATACTGGCAAACTGAATCCAGCAGCACATCAAAAAGCTTATCCACCATGATCAAGTGGGTTTCATCCCTGGGATGCAAGGTTGGTTCAACATATGCAAATCAATAAACGTAATCCAGCATATAAACAGAACCAAAGACAAAAACCACATGATTATCTCAATAGATGCAGAAAAGGCCTTTGACAAAATTCAACAACGCTTCATGCTAAAAACTCTCAATAAATTAGGTATTGATGGGACATTTCTCAAAATAATAAGAGCTATTTATGACAAACCCACAGCCAATATCATACTGAATGGGCAAAAACTGGAAGCATTCCCTTTGAAAACTGGCACAAGACAGGGATGCCCTCTCTCACCACTCCTATTCAACATAGTGTTAGAAGTTCTGGCCAGGGCAATCAGGCAGGAGAAAGAAATAAAGGGTATTCAATTAGGAAAAGAGGAAGTCAAATTGTCCCTGTTTGCAGATGACATGATTGTATATTTAGAAAACCCTATTGTCTCAGACCAAAATCTCCTTAAGCTGATAAGCAACTTCAGCAAAGTCTCAGGATACAAAATCAATGTGCAAAAATCACAAGCTTTCTTATACACCAATAACAGACAAATAGAGAGCCAAATCATGAGTGAACTCCCATTCACAATTTCTTCAAAGAGAATAAAATACCTAGGAATCCAACTTACAAGGGATGTGAAGGACCTCTTCAAGGAGAACTACAAACCACTGCTCAACGAAATAAAAGAGGATACAAACAAATGGAAGAACATTCCATGCTTATAGATAGGAAGAATCAATATCGTGAAAATGGCCATACTGCCCAAGGTAATTTATAGATTCAATGCCATCCCCATCAAGCTACGAATGATTTTTTTCACAGAATTGGAAAAAACTACTTTAAAGTTCATATGGAACCAAAAAAGAGCCCATACTTTAAAGACAATCCTAAGCCAAAAGAACAAAGCTGGAGGCATCCCACTACCTGACTTCAAACTATACTACAAGGCTACAGTAACCAAAACAGCATGGTACTGGTACCAAAACAGAGATATAGACCAACGGAACAGAACAGAGCCCTCAGAAATAATACCACACATCTACAACCATCAGATCTTTGACAGACCTGACAAAAACAAGCAATGGGGAAAGGATTCCCTATTTAATAAATGGTGCTGGGAAAACTGGCTAGCCATATGTAGAAAGCTGAAACTGGATCCCTTCCTTACACCTTATACAAAAATTAATTCAAGATGGATTACAGACTTAAATGTTAGACCTAAAACCATAAAAACCCTAGAAGAAAACCTAGGCAATACCATTCAGGACATAGGCATGGGCAAGGACTTCATGTCTAAAACACCAAAGGTAATGGCAACAAAAGCCAAAATTGACAAATGGGATCTAATTAAACTAAAGAGCTTCTGCACAGCAAAAGAAACTACCATCAGAGTGAACAGGCAACCTACTCATCTGACAAAGGGCTAATATCCAGAATCTACAAAGAACTCAAACAAATGTACAAGAAAGAAACAAACAACCCCATCAACAAGTGGGCGAAGGATATGAACAGACACTTCTCAAAAGAAGACATTTATGCAGCCAACAGACACATGAAAAAATGCTCATCATCACTGGCCATCAGAGAAATCCAAATCAAAACCACAGTGATATACCATCTACACCAGTTAGAATGGCAATCATTAAAAAGTCAGGAAACAACAGGTGCTGGAGAGGATGTGGAGAAATAGGAACACTTTTACACTGTTGGAGGGACTGTAAACTAGTTCTACCATTGTGGAAGACAGTGAGGCGATTCCTCAAGGATCTAGAACTAGAAATACCATTTGACCCAGCCATCCCATTACTGGGTATATACCCAAAGGATTATAAATCATGCTGCTATAAAGGCACATGCACACGTATGTTTACTGTGGCACTATTCACAATAGCAAAAACTTGGAACCAACCCAAATGTCCATAAATGATAGAGTGGATTAAGAAAGTGTGGCACATATACACCATGGAATACTATGCAGCCATAAAAAAGGATGAGTTCATGTCCTTTGTAGGGACATGGATGAAGCTGGAAACCATCATTCTCAGCAAACTATTGCAAGGATAAAAAACCAAACACCGCATGTTCTCACTCATAGGTGGGAATTGAACAATGAAAGCACTTGGACATGGGAAGCAGAACATCACACACCAGGGCCTGTTGTGGGGTGGGGGGAGGGGGGCAGGGGGAGGGAAAGCATGAGGAGATATACCTAATATAAATGATGAATTAATGGGTGCAGCACACCAACATGGCACATGAATACATATGTAACAAACCTGCACGTTGTGCACATGTACCCCAGAACTTAAAGTATAAAAAAAATCACATGGTACCTCATAAATGAATACAATTATGTCAATTAATAATAAAATGTACTACTTATAAAGAGGACTACACAATGAAAATGTATCATGCACTTCAGTTTTGATGGTATATAAATATTTTAGAAAGAAAATGAATAATGAATAATTTAAAAAATTGAAACCCTGAGATAAGGATGGACACTGAAACAGATATCTCAGGCTTTGGAAGTGCAGGGATGAATATTTTTTCTCTATAGAAACTAAAAGGTAGAGTCAATTCTATATCTGGTAGACATAGAATTGATTTTTTGGGGGATATACTTCACATAGGATTTTATTATAGTATATTTACAAAGTGTGCAATAATCACCACTGTCTTCTTTTTTCACACCCAGAAGAAACCCTGTACACATTAGCAGTCAGTCCTCATTCTCTCCTTCTTGAAGCTCCTGGCATCCACCAGTGTACTTTTTATCACTATGGATTTGCCTATTCTGCACAGTTTGTCTGGCTTCTGTCAATTAGCACAATGTTTTCAAGGTTCATCCATGTTGTAGCATGTTTATGGATGAAAAATATTCCATTGTGTGGATATATTACATTTTGTGTATCCATTCATCAGTTGATGAACATTGTGATTGTTTCTGCTCTTAGCTGTTAAGAATAATGCTGCTGTGAACATTCATGTACATGTAGTTGTGTGAATATATATTTTCAATTCTCTTGGGTATGTTACTAGTAGTGAAATTGCTGGGTCATATGGTAACTGTTTAATTTTTTGAATAACTGCCAAACTCTTACAAAGTGACTATGCAAAAGAGTTTTTTTTTTTCACTGTTTTTATGCCAGTACAGTGCTATTCAACATTCCCACCTTGACTATTGTTCTTTTTTAAAAAATTTGTTTTGTTTCCATATGTTTTTGGAGAACAGGTGGTGTTTGGTTACAGGAGTAAGTTCTTTAGTGGTGATTTGTGAGATTTTGGTATACTCATCACTGGAGCAGTATTTGCTCAAATACCGAACCTGATTTGTAGTTTTAAAAGTGGAACTACTGGCTGGGCATAGTGGCTCACGCCTGTAATCCCAGGATTTTGGGAGGCCGAGGTGGGTGGATTACTTGAGGTCAGGAGTTCAAGACCAGCCTGGCTAATATGGTGAAACCTCGTTTCTACTAAAAATACAAAAAATCAGCCTGGCTTGGTGGCGCACACCTGTAATCCCAGCTACTCGGGAGGCTGAGGCAGGAGAATTGCTTGAACCTGGGAGGCGGAGGCTGCAGTGAGCTGAGACCATGTCGTTTCACTCCAGCTTTGGCAAGAAGAGTGAAACTGCATCTCAAACAAACAAACAAAAAAATAGAACTACCATTTGATCCAGCAATTTCACTACTGGGTATCTATTCAGAGGAAAAGAAGTCATTATACGAAAAAGATGCTTGCACACACGTTCTTTTTTTGATTTGCATTTCTGTAGTAACTAATGATGTTGAACCCCTTTTCGTGTGTTTACTGGCCATTTGTGTTTCTTCTTCGAGGAAATGTTTTTTCAGATTTGGTATTTCTTAGTTGGGTTATATATTTTGGATACTGGTACATTAGCAGATACACTATTTCAAAATATTTTCTTCAGTTCTGTGAGTTGTGTTTCCACTTTCTTGATAATATCTTTTGAAGTACGAAAGTTTTTAATTCTGACGTAGTCCAGCTTACCTATTTTTTCTTTCATTGTTTTTGTTTTTGGTATTATATCTGAGATCACAAAGTCACAAAGATTTATGCTTATGTTTTCATGTATGAGTTTTATAGTTTTAACTCTAACATTTAGGTATTTGAGCCAGTTGAGTTAATTTTTGTATATGATGTGAAGTAGGGGTTTAAATTCACTCTTTTGCATGTGGATATTCAGTTGTTCCAGCACCATTTGTTGAAAACATTATTCTTTCCACTATTGAACTGTCTTGGACCCTTGTTGAAAATCAGTTGACCATAGGTACATGGCTTTATTGCTATACTCTAATTGCATTCTAGTGATCTGTGTCTATCCTTTGCCAGTACGACACTGTCTTGATTACTATTGCTTGTAGTATGTATTACAATTAGAAAGTGTGAGTCTAACTTTATTCAAGGTTATTTTGGTTATTTTGGATCTCTTGCATTTCCATGTGAATTTCAGCATCCGCTTGCCATTGTTTGCAAAAAACGACATTTGGGAATTCATAAGGGATTGTGTGAATCTATAGATTAGTTTGGGAATTATTGCCATTTAACAATATCTAGTTTTCCTATCCATAGACACATATGTTTTTCCATTTATTTAAATCATTTAAAACTTCTTTTAACGTGTTTTGTAGTTTTCAGAGTATACGTTTTGCACTTCTTTTGTTAAATGTAATTTATCCTTCTTGAAGCTATTGTAAATGAATTTTTTTTATTTTTTTTTTTTTTTTGAGTTGGAGTCTCACTCCATCACCCAGGCTGCAGTGCAGTGGCCTGATCTCAGCCCGCTGCAACCTCCCCCTCCTGGGTTCAAGCGATTCTCTTGCCTCAGCCTTCCAAGTAGCTGGAACTACAGGTATGTGCCACAATGCCCAGTTAACTTTTGTATTTTTTAGTAGAGATGGCGTTTTGCCATGTTGGCCAGGCTGGTCTCGAACTCCTGACCTCAGGTGATCCACCTGCCTTGGCCTTCGAAAGTGCTGGGATTACAGGCATGAGCCATTGTGCCCAGCCTGGAATTGTTTTTTAATTTTATTTTTGGATTGTTCATTTCAAGTATACAGAAACACTATCGAGTTTTGTATATTGATCTTGTGCCCTGCAACCTTGTGGAACTTATTTGTTCTAATAGTTTTTAAATTGAGTCCTTAGGATTTTCCTAAAAATGTATGTCATCTTTGAGTAAAGAAAGCTTACTTCTTCCTTTCCAATCTGGATGCCTTTTATTTAATTTTCTTGCCTATTGCCCTGACTAGAACCTCCAGTAGAATGTTGAATAGAAGTGGTGAGAACGGACATCTTTGTTTTCTTTATGATTATACTGGGAAAGCTTCCAGTCTTTCACCATTAAGTATGATGTACTTTATTCAGTTGAGGATAGAATTGATTTTTAATAAAGAGAAGTTATGACATTACTTCAACGTTCTCAGTTTATCTTGGTTTAAAAACTTTTAAAAAACCTTGGCAATCTCAATATTTTGAGATCCATTGTTAAAATCCAGACAATGGTGTGACATTCTGAAGTCTCTTCTCCTTCCCTTCTCCTTCCCCCCTCCTTTCCTTCTCTCCTTCCTTCCTCCCTCCCTCCCTCCCTCCTTTCCTTCCTTCCTTCTTTCCTTCTTTCCTTCCTTCCTTCCTTCCTTCTCTCCCTCCTTTATTTCCTACCTAATATAAGATTCATTTCAACAGCTGTTTCACTTTCCAGGAAATAAAAGATTTGCAGATTCTGTAAGCTTTCTAATAAGTTTCTATTCTAACAATTAACTTGAGTCTTTGACTCATAATTTAATCTTTAACATTCTGTGGTTAGGACAGTATTAACTTTTAAAACTTTTAAGTAGTTTAATAAAATGTAATAATAAAATAATCAATATGGCCCTTTTTAAAGAGAATTCAATATTAATAGTGGTGACATAAAAATTTGATCATCAGGAACTGGTTAACTGAATTGTCTATTTATCTCTTTATATTTTAAAGCGCTTTTACTTTATTTCATTTTTAAGAAATTTAATATGAAAATGTTCAAGCATGCATAAGTAGAGAGCATAAAATATTTTTACATACCAATCTCTTGGTTTGGCAATTATCATTTTCCAAAGAGTGTTTCATTTATCTCCTGTACTTTTTTGATTAAATATTTTAATGCTAATGCCAAACGTTGTATCATTTAACCTAAAATATGCAGTATGTGTTTTTAATAGATAAAGATTAGGAAAAAAACCAACCATGATACCACTAATATCTGAAATGAATATTTTCATTCTCCCTTGTCCTTCCCACTGCTCTGTTATCCCCAATTTAGTCACCAGGGGTACTCGTAGCTACTTGGTTTTCTTTATATCTAGACTTGGATTGGCCTTGAAAGTTCAGTACAGCAGTCTCTACCCACATGTGGCTACTGAACACTTGAAATGTGGCTAATCCAAATTAAAATGTTCTGTTAGTCTAAAAATATACATTTAATTTTGAAAACTTGGTATAAAAAGAATGTAAGATATCTCATTAACATTTAAAAATTGATTCCATGTTAGAATGATAAGATGTTGAATATTCTGGATTAAATAAAATATATTATTAAAATGAATTTTACCAGTTTCTTTTACCTTTTAAAAATGTAACTATTAGAACATCTATAATTATACCTGTTGCTTACATTACAATTTTATTGGATTTGATGTTTTAGACCTTTTTAGTGAATGGAACTAGGGAATATCTGTATTTTAGAAAGAACAAAATAAATAATGATTTCATGCTGATATCTCATTTACATTAAAGATGACAGGGTTTTAAAATTTAAAAGACAACTAATTTTGATTTTATATTTGTATCTGTTTTTCTCATGCTGAGAATATTACTTCCTACTGACATTTCTTATTTGCTCTATTTTCAAGGTAACAGTGTCAATATTTCTACTAGAAGTATTACAGCTGAATGCAGTTTTTAATTTCTTTTTTTTCTTATTGAGGCATAATTGACACATAAAGTCGTATGTATTTAGTGCTCAATGTGATGTTTTGATATATGTATACACTGTGAAATGAATACACAATCAAGCTAATTAATATATCCATCAATTTACATAGTTATCTTTTTTTTGGTGAAGTACATTTAAGATCTACACTCTCGGCAATTTCCAAATATACAATATGTAACTATTAACTATAATCACAATGTTGTACAATAAATTTCCAGAACTTAGTCATCCTGTCTAAACAAAACTTTGTACCCTTGACCAACATCTTCACATTTCCCAACTGCTCTCCCCAGCTCCTGGTAATTATCATTCTACTCTCTGCTTCTGTGAGTTTGATTTTTTAGATTTCACATGTAAGTGAGATCATGCACTATTTGTCTTTTTGCACCTGGTTTATTTCACTTAGCATCGTATCCTCCAGTTTCATCCATGTTTTCATAAATGACAAGATTTCCTTCTTTTTTAAGGCTGCATAATATTCCTGTGTGTGTGTGTGTGTGTGTGTGTGTGTGTGTGTATCACATATTCTTTATCTGTTCATCTGTTGATGGACAGAAGTTGATTCCACATCTTGGCTATTGTAAATAATGCTGCAGTGAACATGGGAGTGCATGGGAGTGCAGATATTTCTTCAACATACTGTGTTCATTTCCTTTGGATATATGCCCAGATGTGGAACTGATGGATCATATAGTCATTCAATTTTAATTTTTTGAGGAACTTCCATACTGTTTTCCAATTTACATTCCCAAAAACAGTATGAACGAATTCCTTTTCATCCATCTCCTTGCCAATGCTTGCTATCTTTTGTCTTTTTGATTATAGCCATTTTAACAGGCATGAGGTGATATCTCATTGTGGTTTTAATTGCATTTCTCTGATGATTAGTAATGTTAATCATTTTTTTCATATGTCTATTGGCCATTTCTATAGCTTCTTTTGGAGATATCTATTAAGGTCCCTTGCCCATTTTTAAAATTGGGTTATTTGTTTTCTTGCTATTGAGTCATTTGAGTTCTTTACGTATTTTGGATATTAACTGTTTAAATATTTATAAACCAGAGTGTGGTTTGAAAGTATTTTCTTCTATCCTGTAGGTTTTCTCTTCACTCTTTTGGTTGTTTCCTTTGCTATGTGTGAGATTTTTACCTTGACGCAATCACATTGGTCTATTTTTTCATGTTGCTTGTGCTTTTGGGGTCATATCCAAAAAATTATTGCCTAGCCTAATGACGAGAAGCTTTTTTTCCCTGTGTTTACTTCTAGTAGTTTTAAGTTTCTAGTATTACATTTAAATCTTTAATCCATTTGAGTTAATTTTTGTATATTATATGAGATAAGGCCCAGTTTCATTCTTTTGGCATGTAGATATCCACTTATCCCAGACCTATGTGTTAAAGAGACTGTCCTTTACTCATTGTATGTTCTTGACAGCTTTGTTAAAGAATAATTGACTGTAAATATGTGGCTTTATTTCTGGACTCTCTATTCTGTTTTATTGGTCTAAATGTTTTGATTATTATAGCTTTTTAGAATATTTTGAAATTAGGTAATGTGATGCCTTCAGCTTTGTTGGCTATTTGGGGTCTTTTGTGGTTCCACATAAATTTTAGAGTTTTTTTTTTCTATTTCTGGAAAAATGACATTAGATTTTGTTAGGGATTGCATTGACTCTGTAGATTGCTTTAGGTAGCACTTACATTGTAACAATATTAATTATTTCAATCTATGAGCATGGGATATCTTTCCATTTATTTGTGCCTTCTTCAATTTCATCAATTTTCAGTGTATAGATTTTTAATTTCTTATTTAAATGTATTCTTAAATATTTTATTCTTTTTGATGTTATTGGACATTGGATTTTCTTAATTTTTTATGTGTAGTTCATTGTCAGTATATAGAAATACTACTGGGGTTTTTGTATGTTGATTTTGTATCCTGCAACTTTACTGAATTTATTAGATTTAACAATTTTTTGGATGAAATCTTTAGGGTTTTCTCTATATAAGATCATGTCATCTGCAAATAGAGGCAATTTTACTTCTTCTTTTCCAACTTGGATGTCTTTCATTTATTTTTTTTACCCAATTACTCTGCCTAAAACCTCCAGTACTATGTTGAATAGAAGTCATGTGAATAGGCATCCTTGTCTTGTTCTTGATCTTACAGAAAAAGGTTTTTAGCTTTTCACTATTGACTATGACGTTAGCTGTGGGCTTGTCATATATGGACTTTATTAAGTTGAGGTACATTTATTCTTTCGATATCTGATTTGTTGAGAATTTTTATCATGAAATTTCATCAAGCACTATTTCTGCATTTATTGAGGTGATCATATGTTTTTTGTCCTTCATTCTCTTAATGTGATGTATCACATTTACTGATTTGTGTATATTATACCATCCTTATATCCCAGGAATACATTTTACTTGATTGCATATATGATTCTTTTAATGTCCTATTAAATTTCGCTTGCTAGTATTTTGTTTAGGACTTTTACATCTGTGCTCATTGGGGATATTGGCCTATAATTTTGTGTTCTTGTATTGTCTGGTTTGGTGTCAGGGTAATGTTGGTCTTGTAGAATGAGTTTGGAATGTTCCCTTATCTTCAATATTTTGGGAGAGTTTGAGAAGAATTGGTATTAATTCTTCTTAAAATATTTGGTAGGATTTACCAATGAAGCCATCAGATCCTGGGCTTTTCTTTGTTGAGAGGTTTTCTTTTATTACTGATTCAATCTGTCTACTTGTTATAGGTCTGTTCAATTTTCTTAAGATTCAATTGTGGTAGGTTGTATGTTTTTGGTAACTCACACAGCTCTACCTTTCTTCCTTTGTACATCAAAGCTCTTAACATCCTGCCTTCATTCATTCCCCTCCAAAGCTTACAAATAGTTATTTAAAATATTTTGTCCAGGTTTTATTATTTATTTATTTATTTATTTTTGAGACAGAGTCTCACTCTGTCGCCCAGGCTGGAGTGCAGTGATAACGATATCGGGTCTCTGCAACCTCTGCCTCCTGGGTTCAAGCAATTCTCTGCCTCAGCCTCCTGAATATCTGGGATTACAGGCGCACGCCACCATGCTGGGCTAATTTTTGAATTTTTAGTAGAGATGGGGTTTCACCATCTTGGCCAGGCTGGTCTTGAACTCCTGACCTCGTGATCCACCCGCCTCAACCTCCCAAAGTGCTGGGATTACAGGCATGAGCCACCGCACCCAGCCTTATAATTTATTTTTAAGTGGAATGATTCATTTAATACCAGCTTCTCCCTTATGGCTGCTGCCAAAAGCCTTTAAATGCACCTTTAAGTGAAATCAACAAGGTAAAATAAAAGAAGCTGAGATCAAGGATTTATTTATGTAAGTAACTTTCAGCCTTTTCCTTTCCTGTATGACTCAGGTTCAGGTATAACTATTTACAAGTATTTGGCAAAACCAACTAGGTGAGAAGTGGCTGCTCTGGGATTCATCACAGAAGATCTGTAGAATTGATATTACTCTTCCATAACGGTTAGAATTTCTGAAGTGGAACCCAAAGTATGAATATGAGCCCAAGATATCACAAGCAATTTAGGTTTTTCTGGAATCTCCTGAAAACATGAACGCTTAATGTCATTACCCTTATCTTTGCTCTAAGTGTCCAGTCTGGGTACTTTAAACTGACAACATCTTTCTCGTTCATTGCCACAGGCAATGATTAAAGAAGAATTAGTCAGAAGGATTTTACCAAAAAGTTGCTTATTCCTATCTCTATCTGAAATTCCTGTTGTCGTTTAAGATTTCTTCAGGCTTGAGATCCTTGCTATTTTCCCTACGCCGTACAATGGTTTTGTCAGTCTCATCTCCCTCCTAACCACGCTACTCTAAGTATGTAGCCATATGTGCTTAACGCTTTCTGGGTTGGTTCACACCTCTTTGGATAGAATCTCAGCATTTACATTCTATTTGCATTCTCAATTTGATTTCAGACTATTTCTTACCTTTTCTTACCAAATTACAGTGTTATCTGTCATGCGCTGGGCTCCATGTAGATGGAACATTTCTTCAAGAAAACGTCTGTCATCTATATATTTTGTACCTATCTCAGATTTTAACAGGGTCTGCTACATCACAGCTGTTCCATAAATGTGCTCACCAGCTAATTATAGCTTTATAAAACATCACCTGATGATACTGCTATTTTTATTAATGGTTGCTATATAAATAGTTTTCGAGGTTATTTTTTCCCCGAATGTTATTGGTGTTCAACATAAAATTAACTCCTTCAGTAAACAATTTGAAACACAAAAGCTGCTTCAAAAACACCATAAGCATTGTTGATACTAATTGCTATTCAGTGCTACAGAGCAGATTTTGCCAACATTTTCTCATGACCCTTATCTTCAGGGGTTTGTAATTGAAACAGTATGTATACATTTATAAATTGAATACAATTTATAAATTGAAACAGTATGCATGTTGAATTTTAGGATGCAAGAATTCACAACATTAAGCTTTTTGAAAACAGTATTAGTGGTCCAGTATGGGTGTTGCAATTTGTTGTAGAAGAGCTGGGTGCTAGGTCATGTTGTGTTATGCCAGGGTGGAGGGGGATGATCATTCTGCCATGCAGAGCAGCCGTCGTTTGTGATCCATTAATCTTTTGCCTTTGGCCTTCTTGTGAGTGGATGAATTGCAGTACAAAAATGTGAACATTTTATAATGAGACTCAGTTTGTTCTGAAAATGAAGACCATAAATGAGTGTTTTTCTTCTTTTGATGGGACTTCAAATTGAGACAAAAATAAATGCTAGGAATATCTAGAAATTGGTCCTAGAAATTGAATATGATCACTAGCTCTTTTAATTAACATTTCTGTTAACATTGGGACCTATTCCTTATTCTCTCCACACGGAGGCTTCTTCTTTTGTCAGAGATTAATGTTCCCTCCTTTTTCATGCAAAAGATTAAAGAGGTCATATAAATATAAAACATTTGCTTTTCATTAACCAGAGTTTTAATATATCTTCTTGATAGACATCAAAAGACATAAATTGCAGTGTCAGAATTAGAATTCTGTAATACAACTAAAATGAAGTGGGCAGCTTTATTTTAAAGATGTAACAGTATGTAACATATTTCTGTATTTTCATGTTAGATGAGGAGTTGTGTGATAGGTTATGATCCTTTCCCAACAGAATCATTCTGTTTCTTTTCAAAGGAACCTACCCTTTCCTTATTTTGGTGGGAACGACAAGAGTATTTGGTTGGAAGTCATAGCTATACAGAGGGGAAGAAGCTGTGTCCAGGCAAAGGAAAGTGTAGCTAACTTTCTGTGATGATACATTAGAATTGTAGTTCTGTAAAAGATATTAGAGGTGATCTGTACATAATCCTTCTGTTACAGGTAAAGAGAACAGATTTAGAGTGGGGTGGATTTGCACAAGGTCACGTCACCCAGTGGCTGAGCAGGAACATAAGAAAGGGACTCTTTATCACCCCATAGTGTTCACAACCCACACTCAGTACTCAGGCTGCTCTTCGGTAGTGGGGACTCCCACAGCCCCGCAGGGTATAAAGAAAGGACTCGTGGGAGGAATTCCTACTTATGATGTTCCATGACTGTATTAGGTCATTCTCACATTGTTACAAGAAATACCTGAAACTGAGTCATTTATTTAAAAACCTGGTTTAATTGGCTCATAGTTCTGCAGGCTGTTCAGGAAGCATAGCAGCTTCTGCTTCTGGGGAGCCTCAGGAAGCTTCCAGTCATGGCAGAAGGCAAGGGGGAAGCAGTCATCTTACATGGCAGGAGCTAGGATCAAGAGAAAGAGAGAGGGAGGAGGTGCCATACATTTTGAAACCACCAGATTTCCTGAGAACTCACTAACATGAGAACAGCACCAAAGGGATGGTGCCAAACCATCCATAAGAAACCATTCCTATGATCTAGTCACCTGCCATCAGGTCCTACCTTCAAACTGGGGATTACAATTTGACATGAGATTGGGTGGGGACACCAATCCAAACCATATCAATGACCAAGGGAAACGAGGGCATGTATCCTTAATTTTCAAAGATCTTTATGACTAGTTACAGTAAGGTCAAAAAAGCACTTATCAAGGAGCCTCGTTCTCTTGCAGGATGTCTGCCAGCTCCTCTCCAGCCACCCATTCTCATAGCGGGTGAGCCAGACCACATCTGCTAATCCAGGAGCACAGCTCAGGTGAGATTTCCCCAGAGGGAGAGGTGGAGCTACGTGCAATACTCATTCTAACATCACTGGATTTTGCTGACAAGTACCAAGTGGTCTTGGCATTGTATATAAAGGCAAAGTGGTTAAAAATTGAGATGTTTGCTATTTTAAAATCTGTGAAAATTACAAAAATAAGATGTGTTGGTTAAAAAATATTTAAATATCACTGAATAAATGTCTTCTTATTCCAATTTTATTTCCTTGCTCTCTGGTACCCACTGGCATCAGATTGGTGAGGTTCCAGGCTCTTTTGCTATGTGTATGCAACTGAAATAATTAGGATTTTATTTTGTTTTTACAAAAATGAGCTGTGTTCTGCATACTTGTCTTTTATCCCCCGATAATCTTTCCTGATTGCACTCCTTATATGTTCTCAGTTACACAATGTTCCATAGTAAGGATATTCCACTATGTATTGTTACATATCTGTGTTGAAGGACATATAAGTTGCCTCGGGTATTTTACAAGTAATACAGAAATGAATATCCTTCTACACATATCCATGTGAATATGTGTTAGCACTTTCTTTTGCTAAATCTATAGAGGTTGAATTTTTGGTCAATGCATTCAGGCATTTAAAATTTGTCTAGAGACAGTTGATTTGTTTTGAGGATTTGATGTAAAGGTGAAAACCAAGGCAGTGAGTTTAGATCTATACAAAAGTCTAAGTGTTCTAAGTACCAAAAATCTATGGTACAAAAATACTAAAATAATTGGATTCTTTACGCATTTCGACATTCATTCAAAGTGGCTTTCAGCCAGAGGTTCCCAGGGCCAACCTTCAGACTTGATGATTTTCTAGAAGGACTTTTGGGACACAGAAAAGCTGTTACGCTTACAGTTATTATTTATGACAGTGAAAAGATACAGATTAATCCCAGCAAAGGTAAAAGGTATTCACCTTTTACCAGTTTGACCAGATGGTTTATGTTAACAATGTGGCTTGTGGTGAATGCCTGTTTTCCTGTGCCTCAGGTTTTGGACCACGCTGGATCAGTTTAATCTCTTAGGGGTCAGACTCTAAGTAGTTAGTATCAGTCATATGGGTGCTGCATAACTATGAGCTGACCTCAAACATTATAAAGATAGAAATGGTGGGCACTGGCTGGGTGTGTTGCTCATGCCTGTAATCTCAGCACTTTGCGGGGTGGGGTGGGGTGGGGTGAGGTTGGCAGATCACCTGAGGTCAGGAGTTCGAGACCAGCCTGGCCAACATGACGAAGCCCTGTCTCAACTAAAGATAAAAAAAAAAAAAAAAAAAAAATTAGCCAGTTTTAGTGGTTTGTGCCTGTAGTCCCAGCTATTTGGAAGGCTGAGACAGGAAAATTGCTTGAACCCAGGAGGCAGAGGTTGCAGTGAGCCGAGATGGTGCCACTGCACTCCAGCCTGGGCAACAGAGAGAGACTGTCTCAAAAAACAAACAAACAAACAAACACCCAAGAAATGCTGGACACCAAGGCTCAGGTAAGCTCCCCTGGTTGACATCACTTCCATGTGTACTTCCCATAAAATCCGGAGATAAAGGAGAAATCAGGCACAAGATTCCAGGTGTCCTTTCCCAGTGGAGTCACAGGGATGCACTTAGTTCTCTCAGCAACAATGTGTGACAACACATGGAAAGCGATGTCAACCAGAGGAGCTTACCTGAGCCTTGGTGTCCAGCATTTTTAGCTTCACGGTGATTCAGGTGGGCTCACGGTTATGCAGCACCCATAGGACTGACATTAACTACTTAGCGTCCAGCTCCCAAGAGATCAAACAAATCCAGCATGGCCCAAGACCTCAGGCATAGGAAAATAGGCATTCACCACAAGTCACATTGTTAAAAACCATTTGGTCAAACTGATACAGCCTGGCCCAAGGTCTCAGAAGTATAAAAACACTCTTATTAGGCAGGATATTTCAGGGGTTCAGAGGTTGTCTCCTAGGAGCTTGTCAAGGAAGGGCCTCTATTTAGAATGTGTAGGACTTGATCAATCAGGCCTGAATTCAACCTTTACTGCACACTCTTCTTGTACTTTATTGGAGTGATTCTGTGATCTTAGAACATGATGTACTTGAAGAGGAATTATTAAGGTTACTTGGAGGATGTGTGATCATTTCTTTGTTTTAGAACTTAGCAATTTCTATTGCTTCATAAAATGGAACCATAATGAACATGAGGGACCAGTACCTAACCAGGACTGACAAGACTTGATATGAATCCCAGTCCTGAATTTGAGTCTGGAGAGACTTGTCATTCCAACAAAGGTCAGGGATTTGTACATGGGAGCAAAGTAAGACTTTCCAGAGAAAGATAGTCAATGATGTGAGTCTGAAGGAAGATGTCCTTTGGGTTATTGGTTCTTGGTCTGGTGAGGAAGAAGTGACATTAACAAATATTCAAGACCCAGTATCAATTACTGTCTATTCAAAAAACAACAACCATTTGTTGTATACCTTCTACGTGGAGGTGCCACAATATCCAAGTGGGGACAGGACCAACAATTGGTGGAATTTCAAGGGGACGGGTGTTTAATAGTATAAAGCTTTGGCAACTACATCAGTGAGCCAGTTCTAAGGAGAATGAAGTCCAAGGGCTAGAATACAATTTCTTGTCTAGATTGAGATAGCAGGCAGAGATTTAAAAAATTGTAATTTGCCACTGCACTCCATCCTGCGTGACAGAGAGAGACTCCGTCTCAAAAAAAAAAGAAAAAAAGCAAAAAAGAGAAGGAGTTACTTTTTTTCTTTTTTTTTTTTTTAGATGGAGTCTTGCACTGTTACCTTGGCTGGAGTGCAGTGGGCCATCTTGGCTCACTGCAACCTCTGCCTCCCAGGTTCAAGTGATTCTCCTGCTTCAGCCTCCCGAGTAGCTGGGATTACAAGTACCTGCCACCTCACTCAGCTAATTTTTGTATTTTTAGTAGAGATGGGGTTTCACAATGTTGGCCAGGCTTGTCTCATACTCCTGACCTCAGGTGATCCACCCCTGTCGGCCTCCCAGAGTGCTGGGATTACAGGTGTGAGCCACCATGCTCGGCCGTAACTCCTTCTCTTAAAGGGACAAACAAGAATCTAGTGATAAGGTGCTGGAACATCAATTAGGAACTTATTAAAGAATAAAAAGGATACAGGGTAGGGGTTCAGTCATAGGGAACCTGGGTCTCAAGGCAGGACGTTGATTGCTGACAAAATGAAGTTTTCTATCAGGGTGGCACCAGAAGTAATGGTTGAGGCTAGACCGATATTCCTTGTGTACGACAAAGATTGGTCTTAGAGTCTGGGAGGGACTTACTGGCTTCATTTATACAAATTGGGGCTATTGATGGGCTGGATGTGAAGGGGTTTATACCATTCTTGCACCCATGGGTGGTGACATTGCTTTGGTTTTGTTAGAAAGAAATGAATGTTTTGTGTATTAAGTGACTAGAAATTCAACAGAAGATAGAAAAATGTAGGTCTGGTTGAGTTATGTCAGGAGAGAGGTGGGTGGTGTGAGTAGAGGGGTGATAATTCAAAAAACATGCAGGAAAGAGTTTCCTCGAGTGTGGTGATTATAAGGGGCTGATTAAAGAGATAGAGACCTCACCCAGTGGGCAGCAGGCAATGCCAATTCTATTCTTGTCTATTCTCCAAAAGACCTATTCTTTCTGTTATGGGTCAGATTGTGTCTCCCTATAAATTCTGACCCAAGCCTCCCAAAAAGAGATGTTGGAATCCTAACATCTAGTACTGCAGAACATGACCTTATTTGGCGATAAGGTCTGTAATCAGTTTAAAATGAGGTCATGAGGGTGGGCCCTAATGCAATATGATTGGTGTCTTTATAAGATCTTAGGGGAAATTTGGACATGGAGAGAGAGACACATGCAGAAAGAAGGTGATATGAAGACACACGGGGCAAGACAGCCCTCCACAAGCCAAGGAGAGAGGCCGGGAACAGATCTTTCCTTATAGCTCAAGGAAAGAATGAACCCTGCCAACACCGTGGTTCTGGATTTTTGGCTTCCAGAACTGTGGGACAATAATATTTCTGTTGTTGAAGACACCTGTCTATGGTACTTTGTTATAGCAGTGCTCCAAATGAACACATGCCTCACACCTGCCTCCTTTGCTGTTTCTCATCCCTGCCCTCTCACTCCAGGGGCACAGGCCTTTCTTTTCTTTCTTTTTTTTTTTTTAATGGTATGAAATTAGTTTTTATTTTTAACTAAAAATGAATGCTTAACAACTTTCCAAAATCAAAACTAAAGATGAACACTTAGAAAAAAGGGTGGAAACATATTTTTCTTTCCCTGGGGAAACCAGTAAGGCAGACATTCTAATGGAGCTTGTTTTTTTTTTTTTTTTCCACAGGACTAGTCTATGCGGATGGAATCTCTCTCCAGCCTTTTCTCTATGTCAGTTTTATCTACCTGGCAAGAAAAAACAAAAACAACCCCAAAACAACCCCTCCCCACAAACACAACACAAAACAAGGGACTCGAAAAGTTGGAGAAAACCTTTTAATGTGTTTCTGTAAAATCCTTTCTTAGGAGGTTTAGTACAGGTACTACCCATCAGCAACTTAGCCGGCCAGGTGAGTTGGTGCAGAAGGGCTTCGGCTGAATTTATACCAGAGCCATCGGGAGTGACTTGGCCACCTCTCCCAATTACCACAAGGAAGTCTTAAAATTGAATTTCAGTTTCAGCAGATACTTCAGATTTACCTGAGCAATATCATAGACAATGTACTCATTATATAGTAGACAAGTGTCATTCACACCAGATGAAATCCCAGTCCCAAGAGGAACCTCTGCACCATCCAGAGTAATACTAGCTGAAGGGTCAGGGGTAGTTTTGCCCAAACCTTTGACACTGTGCTTGCCCTTGGGTAACTTGCTGATATGTGAAGCGTGCTTCAGTTCATACATTTTCCAAGGGCAACTTCTCCCAACAGGATTAAGCCTGTTGGGCCTCCCTGAGATGTATGGCAGTAGTTGGCACTCTTGGAGGCCATGTCAGCGAAATAGATCCCTTTACCAAACATGTAGCCCGTCATGGGCACTTCAGGCGGGGCTATCCAAAGACCCTGGGACAGGATCCCAGCAAAGCTGGTGGTTGTGGACCCGGGGCATGGGCCTTTCTATCTTTTGCTCTTGGTTTATATTTTCCTATCCACCAGTTCTTCTTTAAAATAAATGTATTTGAGTCAAAACAATAGATCAATAAAATATACTAAGTAAATAATTGTATAGATGTCAAGTAGAATGTAGCCTAGAGATCAGTGAAGGAAAAAATAAAGAATACAATAGGACAAAGACCTGATTGGGATAATAAAAAGAGGGAGAGAGAATTGATTTTAAAATCTTTCCTGGGAAAGTTTAAAATCTGTCCTTAGAGAGGAGGGAGCCAAGATGGCCGAATAGGAACAGCTCCGGTCTACAGCTCCCAGCGTGAGCGACGCAGAAGACGGGTGATTTCTGCATTTCCATCTGAGGTACCGGGTTCATCTCACTAGGGAGTGCCAGACAGTGGGCGCAGGCCAGTGTGTGTGCGCACCGTGCGCGAGCCGAAGCAGGGCGAGGCATTGCCTCACCTGGGAAGCGCAAGGGGTCAGGGAGTTCCCTTTCCGAGTCAAAGAAAGGGGTGACGGACGCACCTGGAAAATCGGGTCACTCCCACCCGAATATTGCGCTTTTCAGACCGGCTTAAGAAACGGCGCACCACGAGACTATATCCCACACCTGGCTCAGAGGGTCCTACGCCCACGGAATCTCGCTGATTGCTAGCACAGCAGTCTGAGATCAAACTGCAAGGCGGCAACGAGGCTGGGGGAGGGGCGCCCGCCATTGCCCAGGCTTGCTTAGGTAAACAAAGCAGCCGGGAAGCTCGAACTGGGTGGAGCCCACCACAGCTCAAGGAGGCCTGCCTGCCTCTGTAGGCTCCACCTCTGGGGGCAGGGCACAGACAAACAAAAAGACAGCAGTAACCTCTGCAGACTTAAGTGTCCCTGTCTGACAGCTTTGAAGAGAGCAGTGGTTCTCCCAGCACGCAGCTGGAGATCTGAGAACGGGCAGACTGCCTCAAGTGGGTCCCTGACCCCTGACCCCCGAGCAGCCTAACTGGGAGGCACCCCCCAGCAGGGGCACACTGACACCTCACACGGCAGGGTATTCCAACAGACCTGCAGCTGAGGTTCCTGTCTGTTAGAAGGAAAACTAACAACCAGAAAGGACATCTACACCGAAAACCCATCTGTACATCACCATCATCAAAGACCAAAAGTAGATAAAACCACAAAGATGGGGAAAAAACAGAACAGAAAAACTGGAAACTCTAAAACGCAGAGCGCCTCTCCTCCTCCAAAGGAACGCAGTTCCTCACCAGCAACAGAACAAAGCTGGATGGAGAATGATTTTGACGAGCTGAGAGAAGAAGGCTTCAGACGATCAAATTACTCTGAGCTACGGGAGGACATTCAAACCAAAGGCAAAGAAGTTGAAAACTTTGAAAAAAATTTAGAAGAATGTATAACTAGAATAACCAATACAGAGAAGTGCTTAAAGGAGCTGATGGAGCTGAAAACCAAGGCTCGAGAACTACGTGAAGAATGCAGAAGCCTCAGGAGCCGATGCGATCAACTGGAAGAAAGGGTATCAGCAATGGAAGATGAAATGAATGAAATGAAGCGAGAAGGGAAGTTTAGAGAAAAAAGAATAAAAAGAAATGAGCAAAGCCTCCAAGAAATATGGGACTATGTGAAAAGACCAAATCTACGTCTGATTGGTGTACCTGAAAGTGATGTGGAGAATGGAACCAAGTTGGAAAACACTCTGCAGGATATTATCCAGGAGAACTTCCCCAATCTAGCAAGGCAGGCCAACGTTCAGATTCAGGAAATACAGAGAACGCCACAAAGATACTCCTCGAGAAGAGCAACTCCAAGACACATAATTGTCAGATTCACCAAAGTTGAAATGAAGGAAAAAATGTTAAGGGCAGCCAGAGAGAAAGGTCGGGTTACCCTCAAAGGAAAGCCCATCAGACTAACAGCGGATCTCTCGGCAGAAACCCTACAAGCCAGAAGAGAGTGGGGGCCAATATTCAACATTCTTAAAGAAAAGAATTTTCAACCCAGAATTTCATATCCAGCCAAACTAAGCTTCATAAGTGAAGGAGAAATAAAATACTTTATAGACAAGCAAATGCTGAGAGATTTTGTCACCACCAGGCCTGCCCTAAAAGAGCTCCTGAAGGAAGCGCTAAACATGGAAAGGAACAACCGGTACCAGCCGCTGCAAAATCATGCCAAAATGTAAAGACCATCGAGACTAGGAAGAAACTGCATCAACTAATGAGCAAAATCACCAGCTAACATCATCATGACAGGATCAAATTCACACATAACAATATTAACTTTAAATATAAATGGACTAAATTCTGCAATTAAAAGACACAGACTGGCAAATTGGATAAAGAGTCAAGACCCATCAGTGTGCTGTATTCAGGAAACCCATCTCACGTGCAGAGACACACATAGGCTCAAAATAAAAGGATGGAGGAAGATCTACCAAGCCAATGGAAAACAAAAAAAGGCAGGGGTTGCAATCCTAGTCTCTGATAAAACAGACTTTAAACCAACAAAGATCAAAAGAGACAAAGAAGGCCATTACATAATGGTAAAGGGATCAATTCAACAAGAGGAGCTAACTATCCTAAATATTTATGCACCCAATACAGGAGCACCCAGATTCATAAAGCAAGTCCTCAGTGACCTACAAAGAGACTTAGACTCCCACACATTAATAATGGGAGACTTTAACACCCCACTGTCAACATTAGACAGATCAACGAGACAGAAAGTCAACAAGGATACCCAGGAATTGAACTCAGCTCTGCACCAAGCAGACCTAATAGACATCTACAGAACTCTCCACCCCAAATCAACAGAATATACATTTTTTTCAGCACCACACCACACCTATTCCAAAATTGACCACATAGTTGGAAGTAAAGCTCTCCTCAGCAAATGTAAAAGAACAGAAATTATAACAAACTATCTCTCAGACCACAGTGCAATCAAACTAGAACTCAGGATTAAAAATCTCACTCAAAGCCGCTCAACTACATGGAAACTGAACAACCTGCTCCTGAATGACTGCTGGGTACATAACGAAATGAAGGCAGAAATAAAGATGTTCTTTGAAACCAACGAGAACAAAGACACCACATACCAGAATCTCTGGGACGCATTCAAAGCAGTGTGTAGAGGGAAATTTATAGCACTAAATGCCTACAAGAGAAAGCAGGAAAGATCCAAAATTGACACCCTAACATCACAATTAAAAGAACTAGAAAAGCAAGAGCAAACACATTCAAAAGCTATCAGAAGGCAAGAAATAACTAAAATCAGAGCAGAACTGAAGGAAATAGAGACACAAAAAACCCTTCAAAAAATCAATGAATCCAGGAGCTGGTTTTTTGAAAGGATCAACAAAATTGATAGACCGCTAGCAAGACTAATAAAGAAAAAAAGAGAGAAGAATCAAATAGACACAATAAAAAATGATAAAGGGGATATCACCACTGATCCCTCAGAAATACAAACTACCATCAGAGAATACTACAAACACCTCTACGCAAATAAACTAGAAAATCTAGAAGAAATGGATACATTCCTCGACACATACACTCTCCCAAGACTAAACCAGGAAGAAGTTGAATCTCTGAATAGACCAATAACAGGCTCTGAAATTGTGGCAATAATCAATAGTTTACCAACCAAAAAGAGTCCAGGACCAGATGGATTCACAGCCGAATTCTACCAGAGGTACAAGGAGGAACTGGTACCATTCCTTCTGAAACTATTCCAATCAATAGAAAAAGAGGGAATCCTCCCTAACTCATTTTATGAGGCCAGCATCATTCTGATACCAAAGCCGGGCAGAGACACAACCAAAAAAGAGAATTTTAGACCAATATCCTTGATGAACATTGATGCAAAAATCCTCAATAAAATACTGGCAAACCGAATCCAGCAGCCCATCAAAAAGCTTATCCACCATGATCAAGTGGGCTTCATCCCTGGGATGCAAGGCTGGTTCAATATACGCAAATCAATAAATGTAATCCAGCATATAAACAGAGCCAAAGACAAAAACCACATGATTATCTCAATAGATGCAGAAAAAGCCTTTGACAAAATTCAACAACCCTTCATGCTAAAAACTCTCAATAAATTAGGTATTGATGGGACGTATTTCAAAATAATAAGAGCTATCTATGACAAACCCACAGCCAATATCATACTGAATGGGCAAAAACTGGAAGCATTCCCTTTGAAAACTGGCACAAGACAGGGATGCCCTCTCTCACCGCTCCTATTCAACATAGTGTTGGAAGTTCTGGCCAGGGCAATCAGGCAGGAGAAGGAAATAAAGGGTATTCAATTAGGAAAAGAGGAAGTCAAATTGTCCCTGTTTGCAGACGACATGATTGTTTATCTAGAAAACCCCATCGTCTCAGCCCAAAATCTCCTTAAGCTGATAAGCAACTTCCGCAAAGTCTCAGGATACAAAATCAATGTACAAAAATCACAAGCATTCTTATACACTAACAACAGACAAACAGAGAGCCAAATCATGGGTGAACTCCCATTCACAATTGCTTCAAAGAGAATAAAATACCTAGGAATCCAACTTACAAGGGATGTGAAGGACCTCTTCAAGGAGAACTACAAACCACTGCTGAAGGAAATAAAAGAGGACACAAACAAATGGAAGAACATTCCATGCTCATGGGTAGGAAGAATCAATATCATGAAAATGGCCATACTGCCCAAGGTAATTTACAGATTCAATGCCATCCCCATCAAGCTACCAATGACTTTCTTCACAGAATTGGAAAAAACTACTTTAAAGTTCATATGGAACCAAAAAAGAGCCCGCATTGCCAAGTCAATCCTAAGCCAAAAGAACAAAGCTGGAGGCATCACACTACCTGACTTCAAACTATACTACAAGGCTACAGTAACCAAAACAGCATGGTACTGGTACCAAAACAGAGATACAGATCAATGGAACAGAACAGAGCCCTCAGAAATAATGCCACATATCTACAACTATCTGATCTTTGACAAACCTGAGAAAAACAAGCAATGGGGAAAGGATTCCCTATTTAATAAATGGTGCTGGGAAAACTGGCTAGCCATATGTAGAAAGCTGAAACTGGATCCCTTCCTTACACCTTATACAAAAATCAATTCAAGATGGATTAAAGATTTAAACGTTAGACCTAAAACCATAAAAACCCTAGAAGAAAACCGAGGCATTACCATTCAGGACATAGGCGTGGGCAAGGACTTCATGTCCAAAACACCAAAAGCAATGGCAACAAAAGCCAAAATTGACAAATGGGATCTAATTAAACTAAAGAGCTTCTGCACAGCAAAAGAAACTACCATCAGAGTGAACAGGCAACCTACAACATGGGAGAAAATTTTCGCAACCTACTCATCTGACAAAGGGCTAATATCCAGAATCTACAATGAACTCAAACAAATTTACAAGAAAAAAACAAACAACCCCATCAAAAAGTGGGCGAAGGACATGAACAGACACTTCTCAAAAGAAGACATTTATGCAGCCAAAAAACACATGAAGAAATGCTCATCATCACTGGCCATCAGAGAAATGCAAATCAAAACCACTATGAGATATCATCTCACACCAGTTAGAATGGCAATCATTAAAAAGTCAGGAAACAACAGGTGCTGGAGAGGATGTGGAGAAATAGGAACACTTTTACACTGTTGGTGGGACTGTAAACTAGTTCAACCATTGTGGAAGTCAGTGTGGCGATTCCTCAGGGATCTAGAACTAGAAATACCATTTGACCCAGCCATCCCATTACTGGGTATATACCCAAAGGACTATAAATCATGCTGCTATAAAGACACATGCACACGTATGTTTATTGAGGCACTATTCACAATAGCAAAGACTTGGAACCAACCCAAATGTCCAACAATGATAGACTGGATTAAGAAAATGTGGCACATATACACCATGGAATACTATGCAGCCATAAAAAATGATGAGTTCATATCCTTTGTAGGGACATGGATGAAATTGGAAACCATCATTCTCAGTAAACTATCGCAAGAACAAAAAACCAAACACCGCATATTCTCACTCATAGGTGGGAATTGAACAATGAGATCACATGGACACAGGAAGGGGAATATCACACTCTGGGGACTGTGGTGGGGTCGGGGGAGGGGGGAGGGATAGCATTGGGAGATATACCTAATGCTAGATGACACATTAGTGGGTGCAGCGCACCAGCATGGCACATGTATACATATGTAACTAACCTGCACAATGTGCACATGTACCCTAAAACTTAGAGTATAATTAAAAAAAAAAAAAAAAAAATCTGTCCTTAATGGAGTAATTGACTAAAATAATACTCTATTATATGAATGTTATATTACTGATCAGTTTTGATGTGTAGTAATTTTATTTTTGTTTTTGTCAATCTAAAATAATCTAACTAGTTCTTCTTCTTGTTCATCATAGTTTTTGCTTTATATAGTTGGCTTATACAAATTTATGGTGCTTTGTTTTGTCAACACAGATTTCTGTCTTTTTGCTGCTTAAGTCTTTGCCTGTAATTGGTATGTGTCCCTGGCTTAATTTTTGTTTCTGTATACCTGACAAATATGTCACCATCCTCTTGTTTTTGGCATGAAGTACTCCCAATTTAATTCTACGGTCTGATGGGCATTCATGTGGTGTGGCACTGCCTTGTGGAGGTAGGATCGTATTGTACTTCTACTGCCTCTGACTCTGTAATTCATTGTGGTGCATGAAAAATTATAATCCACAGCATCTTCTTCATCCAGGACTCTTTCTTTTTTTACTTCCCTTCAAGGTTTTACACAAAGGATTGTGTATCTCAGGATGAAATACTGGCTCATGCTCCTTTTCCCGCCTTCCTATTTAGTTGTTTCTGTGAAGTGAAGTTGCAGTCACCTGGTATATGCAGAAAGTGATGTGGCACTACTTGAGCAGTGTGGGGAGTGATGTCTCAGAATGAATTACCATTATGGGAGAGGGACATGCTCAGTTTCCCATTAGTGCAAACTCAGAACTTCTGACCTGAGGGCAAATAGTAAGTATAATGGACATCATTTTGGCCATCCCATATGTATTCTCACTTTTTCTGGTAATAAATTCATTTTTTTTTCTTCAGAGAACTACCCCTTCTGTATTCTCCAGGGCTATATGGGGTGGGAACAGGGAAGCAACAATTTTATTAGAGCACATTTTCCCAAAGTGATGCCTTCTTAGAAAATCAGACCTATAAGAAGGTGGCCAAGGCGTAGTTTTTTACATCTTACTCTCCCTGATGGTAGAAATCTGGCAGTGAGTGATGCTGTTCCACACAGTTCCTATGGTTTCAAAGGGGCTTCTCTCTTGGCTCCAGAAAGAAGGCAGTGGCTCTGGCATGGCCAATCAGAGCATTGCATGTCCCTTCCCCGGATCACAGTGATTCATTCAAAGATGGGATGTGTCCCAGGCAGAGCCAATGAGACATAAAGGGCTACGGCATGGAGCCTGAGATCCATTCAGTTCAACCAACCCAAGAAAAGACAGTCAAAATATGAAGAGGAGCTATCTTAATAATACTGTTTAAACTCCTAGGTTAAGCTCTGCCTGAACTTTTATGCTCATTTTAATTAGATTTCTATCATCCAGCTACATTGTTGAATTGGAAACAAAGGAGCACTGGCTAAAAAAGAGGCAGAAGGATATATTATTTCTCTGCCTTCTTTTAGTCATCTTGTTACCTATGCTTCTGGTATCAAAGCATATATGGGCCGCCAGTTATTTTTCATTCCTACTTTAATAGCTTTACAGTTGAAATTCCTTGCACATTTTTATAATATAATAACAACCCACGTTTTCTCTTTCTGGTCCTTGTAAATGGTAGGAGGTTGAATGAGAGTTAATGAAGGATTCTTTATCAGATGCACTTTAAACTGGAATGGTGATACTGATGGTTGAGCTTTATTATATTCTCATTTGACAATCTTTCCCAGTCATTTCGTGTTGATTCCTTATTAATTATGCTTTTTAGTTCAGCTGCTTGTAGCAGCACATCCAGGTGAGAGTAGCTTAAACTAATTATGTGCTTTTGTTTTCTCATGTAGTGAGGAATTGAAAGTGGGCAGTGTAGCGTTGGCAGGATTGTTCTACGATGACACAGGGACCTGGCTTCATCTATCATACTGCTCAAATATCAAATATTCTTTCAAAGAACTTTCTTGGAAGCCCTATCCAGTGACTTCCACTTATTTCTCTTTGGCTCCAACTGTCACATGGCCGCCCCTAGCTGCAAAGGAGGCTGGAAAGTATAATTTCTTAGTTGTGTCTATGGTTGCTTCAAATAATAACAGTGTTCTTTCAGTAAGAAAGAAGGAGAGAATGAGTATTGGCTAGGTGGCTGACAGTCTCACCTATAAGGAGAATAGGTATTAGATAGAAAACTGCAAGTCTCATCCATGGACTTCCTTTTTTTTTTTCTTTTTTGAGATGGAGTCTCACTCTGTTGCCCAGGTTGGAGTACAGTGGTGTGATCTCGGCTCACTGCAACCTCTGCCTCCTGGATTCAAGCAATTCTTCTGCCTCAGCCTCCCCAGTAGCTGGTATTACAGGCTCCCGCCACCATGCCTGCCTAATTTTTATATTTTTAGTAGAGATGGGGTTTCACCATGTTAGCCGGGCTGGTCTCGAACTCCTGACCTCAAGTGATCCCCCGTCCTCCGCCTCCCAAAGTGCCGGGACTACCGGCGTGAGCCACTGCGTCCGGCCTCATCCATGAACTTCTTAATGCAAGCCCCTTTCTGACATGCTTAATGCTTTGTGTCTATTCCTGTATTTTGGGGGTTGTTATTAGTATTAGCCATAATTTTTTTAGGCATTGTGTCTCTTGCCTGCAGTGCTCTGTTCTCTAAGTTTAGTCTCTGAAGCTCACCCATACTGGTATATTAAAGGATACAAGTAGATTACATGTTACTTTTGTTCAGGATAATATTTTACATATTTAGGTTATGGCTGCAACAGTAGTATGCTGGAGCTAGCTCTGTTGGCCCCTGAGAGCTGGTTGTTAAATTCAGGAATTTTTTAAGCTGGCTGTTAAACATGCACATCATTAAAAAGTGAATTATGTAAACTTATAATGAAATAAATTATATTAAAAACAAAGGAAATAAACATTCAAAACTCATTACTTCTTAATTATTTTACTCTGTTATCTCTGCCTTTGAAGCTTTTTATGTTTATTTTGTCTATGTGATGAAAACTATATAATCGTGTGCTACTGCTCATCTCTTCCCAATTCTGCATTCAATGACAACATGTTGGTAGCTGGGAAGGGTCATAGTGGGAGTGTTTATACCATGGAATCAGCAAACGCTACAAATGAACACCTCATTTATTGTTGTGTTGATTGTCTATCTAGACCTAAGAAAGTGGTGGGGAAAATGTTAATAATGCAGATTAAACTTCAGTGTGTGGTGGTTTAGCTGTTTTGTTGTGAATTGCACAACAAATTGAGAAAATATTCTTTTAGTATTAGGAAACTCTTAAGTGGTTTGGCAAAGAAGCTGTTCACGTCCTTGATGAACTAGTGAAGCTTCAACATAGATTTTAATTATTTCACAGTTATCTTACTCATTAACATTAACCAAAACATCAATCAAAATTCAGGTCGGAACTACACCCAGAGAACCAACTGTTAAATATTTACCAGCATGCCATGGCTGAAACCCAAAGGGGAAGAAGTACTGTTCTTGACTTGTGGGCTAGAGTTGGGTCATATTGGAAAGCAACAGCAAAGGATTTGCTTTGCCTGGGATGCAAGGCCAGCATGGCACCTCTAGACCCTGCCTCTAGCTGCTATCTGCTTCTTAGGCTCAAGTTGGACCTGCCTTGCACCATGTTCACGGACTCGCTTTGATAATATTCCTTATGTTGTGTGTGGTTTTCCTAAATCAAATTATGCTTACTTAATACTTTAAACAATATATGGTTGGTAGGTTGTATTTGATCTCCCATGCCATGCGCTACAGGCTTTTTGGACAATCAGTAGTACCCACGCACTCAGTATCTCCTAACTTCTCCTTTTTCCCATTACTTACTGGGAGGCTGGCATTTACTGACATTTATAGCTAGCTACTTTGAAAATAAGAGAGGCAGCAGAATTCTTTAGAGCACTGAGTCCAGAAAATTGGACATGGTCTACCAGCTCAGTAAAAGAGTTTTGCAGAATCACTTTTTCTTGTCAGCTTGTGACATTGTTGGCTACTAAGCTGGTGGTGTTTTCAGATGAATAAAGTAAAATTTCATTAATTTAGACTCCATTAGTATAATTTTGAACAAAGTTTGGTTTGGAGTTTACAGGTATACCATTCATGAAGAACAAAGGTGTCAAATGAATAGTCAAACGAGAAGAAGGAAGCAAGTGCACAAAAACTTTCAGGTGCTTTAGCAGACTGCTTGCCAATGGTTTTGTTTGCCAGTGTTGCTAACTAGCTAACCATTAATGCAGATCTTGTGGGCCTCTACTTGGCAGAGGTCACTAGGTGTGTACAGCTTATTAAAAAGTAATGCAATTGCATATCTTTAAAAATCATCCATGATTCAGATTTTTCACAAATTCAGATTGGTATTTTTCTTCAAGTAGACTCAATTAGGTATTACTGTATATGGATTTACGGAGAATTCTCAAATATTAGATAATACATTGCATATAACCTCATTGGAATGTATTTCTCCTTGTTATGAAAATATTAGCATTTTTCATCCCTTAGTGTATTTAGGTAGTTGGAGTATGAGTGTGTGTATGTGTGTGTGCATGTGTGTGTTAGAGAAAGGAACAGCCTGGGGTCTCCTCCCCTTCTATTAATTTGACCATTCCTTTTCTGAGTCTTGTCTTGCTACTCACTACTCTTCACTCTGCCAATGGACATGAATTTATTTGCTAAGAGTTAAACCCAGTAACAAATGACCCACAGCTCCTTCAAGACAACATTGTCCATGTCTCAAGGGCCACTGTGGAGTGTTTGGTGGAGGAGGTAGTAGAGATAACAAACAATATAGCAGGGATCACTGTTTTTCTTCATGTTCTTCTTCACTTCCTTTCAAGAGTTTGCTGTGCTAAGTTGTACTAGAGGAAGACATTTAACACTTTCTTCAAAGCATTATCTTTCCCATGGCTCAACAGAAATGTACCCAAGAGGTTAAATCATTGTCAGATAGCCACTTTGTGGGCCATCATCATTCCCTGTAACATTTCCCAACCTTATTCCTGTATTCTGAGGCTTACCTTCTCTTCTAATTTCCTTTGGGTGAATCTCTGCCCATCTTTTGGAAATTCTCTCCACAGGGGCAAGTCTGGCCTCAACATCCATCTCTTTTACCCAATAGTAAATTTCTTTAAGTTTGAGTGATAGTTTGGAAATGTGCCTTAGGACATCTGGGTGGGGCAGTCTTAGATGGCCTTGGAAAGGAATCCAGCTCTGGGAGACAATCTAGGTGGGCTTGAGCTCTCAGACTTCTTCCCCTTCAAATCTCTCTATTAAATGAGCGGCAAATATGCCCTTTGTATTCTTTGTTAGTGATTAACTGTTTTTTTCTCTCTTTCTTTGTTGCTGTTGCCCTCTCTCTCTCAAACATACATGTGCGTGCGCACACACACACACACACACACACACACCCCACACTACCACACATACACTCTGAGGACAGTATAAATTCTCAGAGATAGTAAAGTATAAACCTACAAAATGGAAAAATATTCCCAATTGCATTACAAATTCTGAGGCTACTTCCCTCCAAATGAAATATTTCACATTATGATGCAGAGCATCATTCCCTCACCTTCATTCATTCCTCTACATTCCCTCCAAATTGTGCCTCTTTGGTAATACTGAGGATTGAAAAACAACCAAACAATATATATCTCTTGAAGAAAGCATTCAGTGACACCAAATCCGAGCTTGTAAGGGCTTCACTAATTTCCCAGATCAGTTGCCAACCACTTTTTCATACCCTATCAAAGCTGGAGGAAGCTTAGTTAGCACCATATTTCCCTATAATTTACTCATTCTTTGTGACCAAATATTTTAAGCTTTTCCCCAACTCCTAAAAACAATTGTTCACTCATTCCTCTGTGGCCCCATGTTACTTTATACATATCTTCTCTATGGTCCTGTTCACCTGACAGCTATTTCTTCATATATGGGTCTAGACTATCCTGTCTAATGAGGTAGTTACTAGCTACATGTGGCTATTTAGATTTAAATTAATTAGAATTAAATACAATTGAATATTCATTTCCTCAGCTTCACAACTCATATCTCAAATGCTTCATAGCCACAGCTGGTTAGTGGTTACCATATTGGTCAGAGTGATATGGTTTGGCTCTGTGTCCCCACCCAAACCTCACCTTGAGTTATAATAATCCCCACGTATCAAGGGTGGGGCCGGGTGGAGATAATTGAATCATATGAGTGGTTTCCGCTATACTGTTCTTGTGATAGTAAATAAGTCTCACGAGATCTGAGGGTTTCATGAATGTGAGTTCCCCTGCACAAGCTTTCTTGCCTGCCACAATGTAAGACATGACTTTGCTACTCATTCGCCATCAGCCATGATTGTGAGGCTTCCCCAGCCATGTGGAACTGTGAGTCAATTCAACCTCTTTCCTTTACAGATTACCCAGTCTCAGGTATTTCTTTATTAGCAGTGTGAGAAGAGACTAATACACAGAGCATTTGTATAATCACAGAAGGTTCTACTAGACAACACTAGTCTGGATTTTGATTTTGAATGCTTGTATTGATAATCTTTGTATTCTCTGCCCTTAGAGTAGTGCCTATAATAAGGTATTCAAAAATGCTTGTTAAATAAATAAATGAATAAATAAATAATGAAGAATTCCTTTATCATGTTAGATCTGCAATCTGAAAAATTTTTTTTCTATAAATTTTCAAGGTCTCTTTTTATTGAATGGAGAACACAGGCTTAAGAATTTGTTTTTCAAGTTTTAAGGGCCCAGTAGAAATGACTTTTGAACAGGGAGAAGGACTTTGTCTGGCAAACAAAATAAGGAAGGGGATCCAAGGAAGATGAACAGAGATAGGAACAAAACATCGGGTTTAGAGAAATTGGATGATTGTAAAGTTCATGGCAGTTAACTATTATTGAGCACTTACTATGTGCTAGGCACTCTTCCACATCCTTTACATATACTGCCTTACTTAACTTTCAGGGAATATTATTACATCCATGTTACCAGTGGGAAATCAGAGGCACAGAGAGGTCAAATGACTTTCTCAGGTAAGTCACTAAGTGACAGAGCCAAGATTCAAGCTCAGGCAGTCTGGCTTCAAAACCTGGAGTCTAAATCAATTTATTAGTAAGGCCACCTCTCCCCATGAGTGACAAAGGCTAAGAGATTAGGCTGGAGAAGAAGTGAGAGCAAATCATGATGGGGCTTGCAGGGTACCGGGAGGAGTTCAAACTTTATCCTGTAGCTCTGGAAAAAGAAAACTTTTAAGAAAGGAAAATAGCTTTGGATGTTTGTTTTAGAAATCGCACTGTGGCTGTAGGATGAAGGGTAGATCACAGGAGGCAGATGTACCACCACAGGGTTTACCAACTTCAAAAGCCAGCAGAAGACAAGAAATAACTAAGATCAGAGCAGAACTGAAGGAGATAGAGACACAAAAAACCCTTCAAAAAATCAATGAATCCAGGAGCTGTTATTTTGGAAAAGATCAACAAAAATAGATAGACCACTAGCCAGACTAATAAATAAGAAAAGAGAGAAGAATCAAATAGATGCAATAAAAATGATAAAGGTGATATCACTACTGATCCCACAGAAATAGAAACTACCATCAGAAAATACTATAAACACCTCTATGCAAATAAACTAGAAAATCTAGAAGAAATGGACAAATTCATAGACACATATGCCCTCCTAAGACTAAACCAAGAAGAAGTTGAATCCCTGATTAGACCAATAACAAGTTCTGAAACTGAGGCAGCAATTAATATCCTACCAACCAAAAAAAAAGCCCAGGACCAGAGAGATTCACAGCCAAATTCTACCAGAGGTACAAAGGTGAGCTGGTACCATTACTTCTGAAACTATTCCAAACAATAGAGAAAGAAGGAATCCTCCCTAACTCATTTTATGAGGCCAGCATCATCCTGATACCAAAACCTGGCAGAGACACAACAAAAAAAGAAAATTTCAGGCCAATATCCTTGATGAACTCGATGCAAAATCCTCAATAAAATACTGACAAACGGAATCCAGCAGCACATCAAAAAGCTTATCCACCATGATCAAGTTGGCTTCATCCCTGTGATACAAGGCGGTTCAACATACGCAAATCAATAAACGTAATCCATCACATAAACAGAACCAATGACAAAAACCGCATGATTGTCTCAATAGATGCAGAAAAGGCCTCTGACAAAATTCAACAGCCCTTCATGCTAAAAACTCTCAATAAACTTGGCATTGATGGAACGTATCTCAAAATTATAAGAGCTGTTTATGACAAACCCACAGCCAACATCATACTGAATGGGCGAAAACTGGAAGCATTCCTTTTGAAAACCAGCACAAGACAAGGATGCCCTCTCTCACCACTCCTATTCAACATACTACTGGAAGTTCTGGCCAGGGCAATCAGGCAAAAGAAAGAAATAAAGCGTATTCAAATAGGAAGAGAGGGAGTCAAATTGTCTCTGTTTGCAGATGACATGATTGTATATTCAGAAAACCCCATTGTCTCAGCCCAAAATCTGCTTAAGCTGATAAGCAACTTCAGCAAAGTCTCAGGATACAAAATCAATGTGCAAATATCACAAGCATTCCTATATACCAATAACAGACAGAGAGCCAAATCATGAGTGAAATCTCCCATTCACAATTGCTGCAAAAAGAATAAGATACCTAGGAGTACAACTTACAAGGGATGTGAAGGACCTCTTCAAGGAAAACTACAAACCACTGCTCAAGGAAATAAGAGAGGACACAAACAAATGGAAAAACATTCCATGCTCATGGATAGGAAAAATCAATATTGTGAAAATGACCATGCTGCCTAAAGTAATTTATAGATTCAATGCCATCCCCATCAAGCTACCAATGACTTTCTTCACAGAATTGGAAAAAACTACTATAAATTTCATATGGAACCAAAAAAGAGCCCACATAGGCAAGACAATCCTAAGTGAAAAGAACAAAGCTGGAGGCATCACGCTACCTGACTTCAAACTATACTACAAGGCTATAGTAACCAAAATAGCATGGTACTGGTACCAAAACAGATATATAGACCAATGGAACAGAACAGAGGCCTCAGAAATAATACCGCACATCTACAACCATCTAATCTTTGACAAACGTGACAAAAACAAGAAATGGGGAAAGGATTCCCTATTTAATAAACGGTGTTAGGAAAACTGGCTAGCCATATGCAGAAAGTTGAAACTGGATCCCTTCCTTAAACCTTATACAAAAATTAATTCAAGATGGAGTAAAGGCTTAAACTTAAGACCTAAAACCATAAAAACCCTAGAAGAAAACCTAGGCAATACCATTCAGGACATAGGCATGGGCAAGGACTTCATGTCTAAAACACCAAAGGTAATGGCAACAAAAGCCAAAATTGACGAATGGGATCTGATTAAACTAAAGAGCTTCTGCACAGCAAAAGAAACTATCACCAGAGTGAACAGGCAACCTACAGAATGGGAGAAAAATTTTGCAATCTATCCATTTGATAAAGGGCTAATATTCAGAATCTATAAAAAAATTAAAGAAATATACTAGAAAAAAAACAACCAACCTCATCAAAAAGTGGACAAAGGATATGAACAGTCAATTCTCAAAAGAAGACATTCATGCAGCCAACTGACATATTAAAAAAATCTCATCATCACTGGTCATTAGAGAAATGCAAATCAAAACCACAATGAGATACCATCTCACACCAGTTAGAATGGCGATCATTAAAAAGTCAGTAAACAACAGATGCTGGAGGTGATGTGGAGAAATAGGAACACTTATACACTGTTGGTGGGAGTGTAAATTAGTTCAACCATGGTGGAAGACAGTGTGGCAATTCCTGAATGATCTGGAACTAGAAATACCATTCGACCCAGCAATCCCATTACTGGATATATACCCAAAGATACATACCAAAAGACATGTACACATATGTTTATTACAGCACTGTTCACAATAGCAAAGACTTGGAACCAACCCAAATGCCCATCAATGATACCTTGGATAAAGAAAATGTGGCACATATACACCATGGAATACTATGCAGCCATGAAAAAGGATGAGTTCATGTTCTGCAGGGAAATGGATGATGCTGGAAACCATCATTCTCAGCAAACTAACACAAGAACAGAAAACCAAACACCGCATGTTCTCACTCATAAGTGGGAGTTGAACAATGAGAACACATGGACACAGGGAGGGGAACATCCACAATGGGGCCTGTCATGGGGTGGGGGGCTAGGGGAGAGATAGCATTAGGAGAAATACCTAATGTAGATGATGGGTTGATGGGTGCAGCAAGCCACCATGGCACGTGTATAACTATGTAACAAACCTGCACATTCTGCACACATACCCCAGAACTTAAAGTATAATAATTAAAAAAGTAGCTAATGCATGCGAGGCTTAATACCTAGGTGATGGGTTGATGGGTGCAGCAAACCACCATGGCACAAGTTTACCTATGTAGCAAACCTGTACATCCTGCACATGCATCCCAGAACATAAAATAAAATAAAATAATATTTTTTAAGAAGAAGAAAAAACTATACAAGAAATGATGAGAGTAGTGTGCAGGGGGTAGAGTGGAAAGGAGTTGGTGTGAGAGAAATTTGGATGTTAGAAGTGACAATATTGACAACTTTCTGATGTGTCAGTGAGGAAGAGAGAGGACTGGACAATGACTGGGCAGGTTTCTGCTCTGGGCGCGAAGTTGATGGGGAGACATTTTACTGATGTTGGGAACACCCAGGGAAGAACAAGTACAGATGGGGTGTGGGAAGGCAATAGGTGCTGGGTGTAATTTTTAGCTAGGTGAATTTGGGGGTGTTTGTGGGATGTTTAGTTGGAGATAACCATTGAATCTTTGCTAGTTCAAATCTGAGGCTCAGGAGAGGAGTGCTTAGAGGTTTGTATTTATTAGCAAAAAATTGGTAGTGGAAGCTGAAGAAAGAAAACACATGAGACAAAAAGTATGGAAAGAGTAGACTGTAGTACATCAGCATTGAAAGAACAGGTAGAAGAGGAGGCCGCAAACAGATGGAGAAGGGATGTTAAAGAGAGGAGGAGAACAGGGCGATTGCTGCCTTCTCTCAATGCTGGAGCATTTCTCTCTAATTAGCTGTTACCTTCACCTAGAATCCAGAACCCTTTTTTTCAAATGAAATATTTTTGTGAGTCTCAATATTTTAAACAGAAATAAGTATAGATGTTTTGGTTGAAGTGGGGTCAAGTGTAACCACATGTAACCACAATCTATGCCCTGAAATATTATGCTATCTCAACACATGTTTTTAGAATTAACTTTAGTTAATTTAAAGTCTTTATTTAAGTCTTTATTTAAATAATTTCAAGTCCTAATAATTCACTTAAATAGAGAAGTGTGTTTTGGCCAACACTATTTTTGAACTTTGATGATGATGATGATGATGATGATGACAATGATGTTCTTTTGTGGCTGACACTCTTGGTTGTCTAATAGTCTTTTTCTTGTCAATTGCATTTCTCATTTCTCCCTACTGTTCGACTTTTCATTGTTGGCAAAGTTCTGATTTGGTTTCCTTGTTTTCCTTTCACTGCTTAAGAAAAGCGAACTTCCCAGCTTCAAGGCATAACTGGTCTACATCAGTCGTGGTGGTTTCATTTCCTTTGTCAGTGATTTGCTTAGGAATGAATAGAACGTGTAACTCACTTTTGGTGTGTAGAACTGAGGGTAATTCTTCTGAGAAGTTTCTGGAAAGGCTTTTTTTTGTTTTCATTATTGAAAATAGCTGCATGGGGAAAACACACCTATTATTAGTTGGCTGTCATCATTGACTATGATATCTGAAATGTTCTAGCTTTCTTGTGACCATAAGGGGAGGCATTGCATACTGAGAATGGCACAGAAGAGAGAAGGGAAGAAGCTGGAGTCTTGAAGATGTTATTCAGTAGCTGAAATAACTGGCCCAAAGCTGCTCTATTCTTGGGCTTCTAGTTGTCTGATACAATAAAATTCTTTATTGTTCAGACCTCTGTTAGTTGAATCTTCCATTACTTGCAGCTGAAAGGATCATAATAGTTTCAACTCCTCTTCTGGCATAAAGGTTATGATCCTGAAAACCCATTCATTCTTTTATACATTTAATAAATATTAATTGAACATGTATATGCAAAGTGTTACCTAGGTGCTGAGAATACAGTAGAGAAGAGCACAGGTAAGGAGCTGTCATCAAGGAATGTAGTAAAAACAGAGAGAAACTTAGTGTGTCTGGAGCATAGTGAGTAAGGGGGAGAGAGTTATGAGGCTCAGTTAGAGAGAGGTGGAGGCAAAACTGTGCATGGTGTTGTAGGTAAGGTTGAGGATTTTGAACTTTATTCTAAAAACGGTGGAAAGAATTGAAGAATTCTAAATGAAGGAGATGTTACAGATTTGCATTTTTTAAATTGACTCTCTGGCTTCTGTGTAGAAAATGCACTGAAGAAAGTCTAGGATAGAGGCATAAAAGCAGTTATTTACGATTGTCCAGTGAGAGATGTCATTGGTTTGAACTAGGAGGTAGTCACAGAAATGGAGATAACTGTGTGACTTCAAGTTATAATTTGGTGGTAGAATTATTAGGATGTCACAACCAATTGGACCTGGGGAGTAAGGGAAGGATAATTGTTAAACTGATAATTGTTAAATTTCTGGCCCTGGGTAGAAGATGGTGCAATTTTTGAGATAAAGAACACTGGAGAAAAAGCAAACTGGGGTAGCATATGATACAAGAATTCCACATGCATGTTTATAGTGGCACAATTTGCAATTGCAAAAATGTAGAACCAGCCTAAATGCCTATCCATCAACAAGTGGATAAGCATGGAATACTACTCAGCCATAAAAAGGAACAAAATAAGGGCATTCGTAGCAACCTGGATGGAGTTAGAGACCATTATTCTAAGTGAAGTAACTCAGGAATGGAAAACCAAACATCCTGTGTTGTCACTTATAAGTGGGAGTTAAGCTATGAGGACACAAAGGCATAAGAATGATACAGTGGACTTTGGGAACTCGGGGTGGGGGGGGGAAGTGGGAGGGGGTGAGGGATGAAAGACTACACATTGGGTACAGTGTACACTGGTCAAGTGATGAGTGCACCAAAATGTCAGAAATCACCACTGAAGAACTTTTCTATGCAACCAAACACCACCTGTTCCCCTAAAACTATCCAAATAAAGATAAATAAATAGAAAAAAAGAGAAAAAAGATACAAGAATTTGGTTTTGAAAATGTTAAGTATGAGATAACTGTGAGACTTTCAAGTGAAAATTTTAAGAAGGAAAGTGGAGGTGCAAGCCTGGATCTTTTAAAAATAAGAAGCCTATCAGGAGATAAAGAATTTAAATTATCTAATACTGAATCAGTGTTAACAGATTTGTGATTTGTAGTCCAGCTTTCTGTGCCTGACAACTAAATACATGCGATTGCGAGATGTATGCTTATGAAGTCTTTCACCAGAGCTTTAGCCATAAAAAGGAGCAAAGTTAACAGAGAATTGAGCCTGTGCTCTAGGTCTCATGTTGGGCATTGAATAATGTGAACTAACCTGCATCTACATGTCACAGACACTCCTATTGACAAAACTCTCAAAGTACATCCCAAATTCTACTTATTTTGCTCATCTTCACAGCTACAGTCCTAATCCAGGCCACTATAATATTTTATCTGGACCAATGCCATAGACTTTTAGTGTCTCTTGGCAGAGATGCCAAATAAACAGTTGGATGTATGGTTTTGGGGTCAGGAGAGAATCTGGGGTTACAGTTCTAAATTTAGAGTCATTAGAATGAGAGGGGAGTTAGCAGGAATCAGGGCAGTATTCCAAGAAGGGGAGGAATGTACAAAAGCATAGAAGCATGAGATAGTGTTGGTCTGGAGAACTACAAGATGAAAAAAGAAACCAGTATTAGTTAAGTATAATTAGTCACTGAAATAAACACTTATAATAGAGAAGACAAGGAATCTGCCTAAGGTGACACGATTAGGTCTTTAAAAATAATACAGTAGATTGTTATTTAATCAACGTGGCTTAAAATATATATGGGTTGGGCTAGTAGTTGGGAGTGGATGAGAGAGATTAATACTTAGAAAAAAGGCTGATTCAGAGGCAACTATATGATCAGTCTTACATGCTACACAGAGTTTTTAGATTTTATGTTGTAACTTCATTTGCTTGCACAAATGTCAGAAGAAGCTTGAGTGATGATGAGAGAAACAAAATAATTCAAATCCAACAAATAACGATTAAGAACCTATTATGTACACTCTGGATGATACAAAGGGCTGTGGCCTTTGAGATGATTATCTGGTTGGGGAAATGAGACACTCCAACTAATAACTACAGTACAAGGTGGAATGTGAAGCCAGTGGAATTTAAAGTCAGGATACGTGGAAAGTTAAGATGTTCCAAAGAAGGGTGGGTGAAGAATGAAAGGCACAAAGAAAGCTTTTGTGAATATGTGAGTTTGTTTTCTGTGCAAAAGAAGGGGAAAGGACTGAAATTGTCAGGAGAGGGTGTGGTGGAATCAGAAAGAGATGAAGACTGAATTTTTTTTTTTTTTTGAGACGTAGTCTCGCTCTGTCCCCCAGGCTGGAGTGCAGTGGCGCGATCTCAGCTCACTGCAAGCTCCGCCTCCTGGGTTCACGCCATTCTCCTGCGTCAGCCTCCCGAGTGTCTGGGTCTACAGGCACCCACCACCACGTCACGCTATTTTTTTTTTTTTTTTTTTTTGTATTTTTAGTAGAGACGGAGTTTCACGTGTTAGCCAGGATGGTCTGGATCTTCTGACCTTGTGATCTGCCCGCCTCGGCCTCCCAAAGTGCTGGGATTACAGGCGTGAGCCACCGCGCCCGGCCGAAGACTGAATTTTTGAGCAAATGAAAGACACCAACAAAATCCAACACATAAAGATTCACACTTGAAACAGATTAATCAGGGTAAGGTTAACTATGTTACCAAATAATGGTTTCGTGAAAGAATTAACTATAGAGTAAGCAGTGTGCTCTTTCCAAGGACAAGAGAGAATTTTATCTAAGAGATTTTCTTTATACAACTCTAGCTCTCACAGGAAGCAAGGTAGGTCCTCGTTTCAACCCTCCGCCCCCACCCCACACACCATCGGCACTTTCTTTTCTTCTTTGGTGGACACGGCTTTACTGCTGCATCTCATTTCCTGCCCAAAAAACAAGGAGCACACACAAAGTAGATTAAAAATGTAGGTAATGAAAAGAGATTAATAGCCTGAGCAGGTAGTTGGGCGGCTGCTTTGGGGGAAGCTGATCACTTTCCGTTATAGGCTAAGGTCATTGTGATAATGTTGGTCAAAATCTGCCCAGAGGAAGCAAACTGCTTTTAACTGTACTGCTGTTGGTTAGCAAACCATCATACTGGTTTTGTGTTTGTTTATTAATTCTCCATTAAATCTGGATAATACTGTTAAGCATAAAGCAGTAAGCTTAAAAATCAGAAATATTTTGGAATTTTCTCTGAAACCATAACAACATATCTTAAAGGGCAACAGAAAGCAAAATTGGGTTTGTCAAAGCTAGACATTTCTGCTAGAAAAAATTGAGATTTATAAGATAAACCAAAAAAGTTATATCTTGCTAGTCTGAGATTCAGAACAAATGGGAAAAAGAGTCTAAAGATCTTAGTACTCATGTAATAACTTATTCGATGTATATTAAACAATTTTTGCAGTAGTAAGACTTGCATTCTGAAGTGGTGTGTTTTTGAGAATACAGGTTTCTGTCTCTCCCCTGGCCCACCCCTCCCTACCATGAGCTTCAGAGATTGGAGGTATACTGCATTGTATGTGTGCATGTCTGTGTGTAAAGCTTTTGCTAAATTGGATTTTTCATTGCAATCTTACCACAGGATTTGTGGAATCCTTTCCAGATATGATATTACATTATTGTAAAAGCTTTACTCCTCTTATCTTTGTGGGCAGAAGGGTCACAATGGACTGCATATGAGGATTAAAATGAGCCTGCCCTGGAGCAGAATAAACCAAATGGATTACACAAAACATTTTAACAAATGCTGGAGGTCCTGGCTTGCCTTGATCTTTTACCTCTGAGATTTCAGAAAATGTTCTGAGACTATCGTTTGGAGGAAAGCAGAAATCAGATATAAAAATTCCAGCAGCCACAAATGCTGAACTTATGTAAAACATTGATCTCAGTTTTAGGAACCACTTAAGTCCTTTCTTTAAAAAATGGTAGAAATGTTCTTAGCTTTTTCTGCGTTGCGGAAATAGTGCATTCCAAGGCTCTGCCCTATGCTCTTCTCTTCCCTCTCTCTGCTTCAAAGGAGCTCATTTTCCTTCCCTGGTTTTCTTTGTAACTTGCAAGTGAGGGTCTGGGCAGTTTCCAGCCACACCTCTGAGCTGGCCTCACAACCCAGGGCCCTCCTACTACCTGTGGTGGCTCTAGAATTGAAGTTCTGGAACTGCCACTCATCCAGTGTGGCTAAAACATAGACTAGCCTCTTCGTTACTAAATTGTTATTGCTAAAGCTTTTGTGGGAAAGTATTAACCTGAGAGTATATTAATAGCAGGGTCTAGGATGAATATGATACTTTTCCTCCAAAACATTATAACCTAAGCACTATACTGGCTTGCTAGCACCCCAGAGAATTAATTAGTAAGAGCATCTCTTGCTACCTCCATTCAAAGAGACTGATGTTTTCTGTGTAATTACCCTATTAGTAGGTTATCGGTGATTAAAGTATAAGTAATTAAGGTATTATTAGTAGTAAAAGTCTTTTTTTAAAAAAATAAAACAAACTATAATGAACAACATTAGACTTTTAAAGTACGTAGAACAATTTATATAGGTGAGAGAAATAAACCTCTAATGGGGGAGAAAAAAGGACAAAGAAGAAAGTGGGGCTCTCTCCTGCTCTTCTGGACAGCTACATCAGGGAACCTAGAGAAGCTGATCCATTGTTCAGCAAAGCACATTAATGAGCCCTAGAACAGCAGTGATACACTCAAGCCAAGCCATAGGTAGCATAGAGTTACAGTGTTCTGCAAATTAAATAGGGGAATTGAATTTCCAGAGGACAGCTTGAGAAGCAAAGCATGAAGTCTTTAGGGAATACCTACTGTTTATATTTTGTTTTTCACACAGTACACTACTCAACCTTCCTGCCTTGTGTTTTGTGTAGAAATCAAAGAAAAGGGGTCACGTTTATTCTGATACAGAATTGGAAGGGCAGAGTGAGTGTGACTAGAAAAGACAAAGGCAACCTCTTTTATGATCTGTCTTTCCCCATCCTACCTCAGATATGGAGAATCCCTGGGGAGTATGGGCAAGGTAACACTGAGTGGGAGATGGTGATCAAGAAGGTGACTTCCTAATCTCAAAGTGCATCTGAGTTACACTTGGCTGTCATACCTGCTTGTTAGCATTCCCAAAGGGAATTCTAGAAAAGGTAGTGAAGATCATATTTGGAGGATAATCTTTGGAGCCACCCTGACCTGGGTTTGAATATTGGATATGAAAATATAGAATCTGTGTGACTCTGAGCAGATTTTAAGACTTTAAAAAATGTTTGACTCCTCACCTGTGAATTAGGGACAATGATTCCTTAGGATTTTCTACACACATGATCATGTTTTCTGTAATTAAAAGACAGTTTTAAATTTTCCTTTCTAATCTGTATTTATTTTAAAACTTATTTCACTTGTTAGGTCCTCTAGTGCAATGTTGAGTAGAAGTGGTGAGAGCAGATATTCATTACTTACTTAAAATCTTAGAGGAAGAGATAAAAACATTCAGAATTTCACCATTAATTATGATTTTGCCTACATGCTTAACATATATGTTCTTTTTCAGGTTAAAGTTCTCTTCTCTATTAGTTTGCTGAGAGTTTTTATCACAAATTAATATTGAATTTTGTAAATTTGTTTTAGCACCTAATGAGTTGATCATATGGTTTTCCCTTTTTATTCTGTTAATACAAGTTAAGCATCCTTAATCCGAAAATCCCAAATCCCAAATGCTCCAAAATCTGCAACTTTTTTGAGTGCCAACAATGATGCCCTGCCCCAAGTGGAAAATTCCACACATAAGTACTTAACACAAACTTTATTTCTTGCCCAAACTATTAAAAATATTGTATAAATTTACCTTCAGCCTATGTGTATAAGGTGTTTTTGAAACGTAAATAAATTTTATGTTTAGACTTGGGTCCCATCCCCAAGATATCTCATTATGTACCTGTAAATATTTCAAAATTCAAAAAAAAAAAAAAGAAAAAAGTGAAATCCAAAACACTTCTGAACCCAAGCATTTTGGATAAGGGATACTCAGCCTGTACAGTGAATTGAAGTTATTGATTTTCAGACATTAAACCATCTTTGCATTTCTGTGAACAATGCTACATGGTCATGATGTCCTTTCCTTTTTCTATATTGTTGCAATCAACTAGTTAAAATTTTATGAGTTTTTTGCATTTATGCTAATGAGGAATATTAGTCTATAATTTCCATTTCTTGCATTGTTTGGTTTGATATCATGCTAATGTTGGCCTCATAGAATGACTTAGGAAGTGTTCCTTTTTCAGCTATTTTTCTGGAAGAATTTGTGATTATTTCTTCCATAAATATTTGGCACAGCCCACCAGTAAATTCCTTTGTGTCTGGAGTTTTCTTTACGGGGAAAATGTTGAAGTACAAATTCAGTAGATAATAAATATTAAGTTATTCAGATTATTCTTGGATGAACTTTGGAAGTGTGTGTCTTTCAAGTAATTCAACCATTTGATCTAAGTTTTCAGTTATTGGCATAAATTGTTTACAATATCCACATATTATCTTTTAAATGTGGGTAGGAACTGTGGTTATATTCCCTTTCTCAATCCTGATAGGGATAGTTTTCTCTCTTATGTTCTTGATCAGGCTGACTAGAAATACATTAATTTTATTGACTGACTTTTGGTTTCATTGATTTATCTTTATCTTTTTTTTTTTGAGATGGAGTCTTGCTCTGTCACCCAGGCTGGAGTGCAGTGGTGCGATCTTAGCTCACTGCAACCTCCGCCTCCTGGGTTCAAGCGATTCTCCTCCCTCAGCCTCCTGAGCTGGGATTACAGGCACCTGCCACCGTGCCCAGCTAATTTTTGTATTTTTAGTAGAGATGGGGTTTCACCATGTTGGTCAGGCTGGTATTGAACTCATGACCTCAAGTGATCTGCCCGTCTTCGCCTCCCAAAGTGCTGGGATTATAGGCATGAGCCACCACACCTGGCTCTTTTTTGTTTTTATTACGCTAATTTCTCCTCTTTATTATTTCTCTTCTGGTTACATTGAGAAGGGTATGCCTCAGGGTAGAGAAATTCTTCAGTACATTCTGATATTAACAATTCCGTTTGTTTTCCTCTGCCTGAAGCCATCCCAATTTATCCTGCCCCTCAGGGAACCTCCCTGTACCTTCGACTCAGGCGCTACTCTTTTCTAACAGATGCCTCCCACAGCTGTAATTAGGAGGCTATACAGTTTGGGGGAGTGGTGATGAGAGATTGGCCCATCCTGGAGTTATTGGCTTGCTAGTGCAGCTGGCTATTCCCAAGGTGGTCCTACTGATTGAACATCCAGAACATGTCTGGAGGGAAATAGGTTCTCACAGCCTTTTTCCTATCCATAGTGCCTGACTTTCTTGTGCTCTTGGCTGCCATTTCCTACCACTCCTGGGTCCCAGATTCTATCTTCCTAGAGATTTCTCCTGGTTTTTGCTTTTCTGTGTTTTGTTGGTTTCTTCCTGGCATGTGGGCATCTCTAAGGCTCAGTTCAAAGATGAGAAAACCAACACTTTGTGTCTTCCTTTCCCCCAGCTCCCTTTAGAAATGTTCTTTTCTTTGCATCTCCGCTTCTGCTCAGGTGTTACTCAGGCTGTATTAGAGAATTTAATTTTTCAAATGGGTCCTTTGAATCTGAAGAGTCTACTTAGTATTGCAGAATCTTGGTTACATTGTTTAGCAATGGAGGGTGACTTTAATTGTAGATAAGGAGAAATTCCACTAGGTGCATATTCTTTCTACTAGAGAGATGTTTTATCAGTTGTTAAATGAATAATTAGAAAAAAACCTTTCAGGTTGTTTTACAGTGTGATTTGAGAAAAGAACAAAGTGTCAAGTGTGCACTAAATTCTATAGGATGGTCATTATCAAAATAATAGAGCTAGAGATATTACATCTTTTTATTTTAAGATTTCAATGAAATAGTCTAGATTCAAGATAAGGCTCCGGAGAAAAAGAGCGAATAAGAGCCTTCACTGTAACATGCAAATAAGCTGTCTTGAGTGGTGGCAGAGGTGAAGAATGTTGGCAATTTGGCTGATTTTGTTTCTTTTCTGGAAGGGAGGATTTGGTCATGTGAAAACACCGTAAAAGAAAACAGTGTAACTACAAATCATGTCTTTATGAGAAACAATGAAAAACCTATTCAAATCCGCTTTCTTGCTACATCTTCTCTGTACTATGGAACTTCAAAGTGTAATTACTGGGCCAAACAAAAACAATGAATTAAAAAAAAATAAAAAGCCATATACCAAGACAAACATACTTCCCAGAGGTTCCTAGCTTATGTATAATCCGCACTGCTTCCACACAATAAACAATTCTTTGGGTTTTTTAAAGCTGTATTAATATTAGAATAAATTCAATATCCCCAGAGAATAATTATTTTCCCTTAACGAATAATAATAATTATTCTGTGGCCTTATATGGCCACTTTTCCCCCAAAGAACTGATGAGAGTGTTCTACTTCTATTACACTTTTGTGTGTATATTTGTGATTTTATTTCTATGCTATATTATTAAATGAAATTGTTTTATATATATATATATAAATAAAATCTATGTCATTCAGATATTTTTGTGAGGCTAGAAAACATCAAAGGTCTGCTGGGCTGTGTTGTCCTGGTCAAGTTTAATTCCTTGTGCTTCCATTTCCTCATCTGTAAAATGGGAATCATCATGCTTAACACATGGAGTTTTTGGAAAGCTTGAGGGAGATTATGAATGTTAAAGTAGGTTTTCAAATGGGGTGCAAAATACAGATATAAGTTGTTTTAATTATTCATATTAAATGATTATTAAAATAATAATTATTATTGGAGAAATATTTCTATCACTTTCTGAATACTCTGAATTTTTTTAGAACATCTCTACTTGGACTCAATGGAATCGTTGTATCAAAATTCACAATGTAAAAGCAATTTTTTTTTAAACATTTAGCTTCCACAGTTAGCTTCCTTTTTATTTCTCAGGGTTATATCTACCAATGAAGGGTGGAAAGAAAGAGAAACCTCGATGCTACATCACATACCCGGGACCAGTCTCTGGTGTGTCAGTCTTTTCAGTGTGTTCAGATCTTTGAAATGTCTTTCTTCATAATTGACTGTCATGCCAACAATTTGTTTACTTTTATGGAATTTATCTGATTTAAGTTGTTCTATCGTCAAGACTCCAGTTTAGACTTAAGATAGTGTTGCAGACTATCATCTTACCACTCCTTGGCTTCCATATTTGTAGTTTGTGTGATTCAGATGGTCCTCCAGGTAGCATATTTGTCCTTATCTGTGACCATTCTATAAAGCAGGGGTCCCTAATCCCCGGGCCATGGACCAGTACCAGTCTGTGGCCTGTTAGGAGCCAGGCTGCACGGCAGGAGGTGAGTGGCGAGCCAGCAGCATTACCACCTGAGCTCTGCCTCCATGCCATCAGTGGCAGTGTTTGATTCTCATAGGAGCACAACCCCATTGTGAACTGTGCCTGCGAGGAATCTAAGGTGTGTGCTCCTTATGAGACTCTAACTAATGCCTGATGATTGAAGTGGAACAGTTTCATTCCAAAACCAACCACCTCTCCTCCATAGGAAAATTGTCTTGCACGAAACGAAACCAGTCCCCGGTGCCAAAAAGGTCGGTGACCACTGCTATAAAGAAAGCACCCTGAAGACCAAAGCCAGTCATCTGTCTGGAAAGTTAAATGTGGTATAATCCTTGAATCTGTTTATAGGAAAAATGGCTTTTAAAATATGCCTATACCAGTACTGGCTTTATTTTGTTCAGTTGACTTCAACCTATTTCAGATGATTTTCAGGGAGCTTGTTCTGTGACTTTTGTTGCTATGAATTAAATTTGTGAACCTCTAGAAGTTGTAACAGCACTCTTTCAAAATGATAGAGGCCCCAGCTATTTGACATGGTTTCAGTCAGTTCAGGCCTGAGTGCAAAAAGATTCACAATAGCCTGGAGACACTGCCTGGCTTGATAATTACATGATCCCCTAAAGAATGTCATACTTAACTGGAAAATGAAACACTTAAAGGCACCATCATATTCTTTCTCAGTTTTCTTTTATTTTCAATATTGTGACTTTGTAGAATAGCTTCTTCCTTTGATCTATCTATAAGAATGTTTACAGATAAATTCCATGTGTTCCTGTTTGAATTTGAGAGGGGCTTATGCTGCATGTTTCAAGTTGATTAAATATAAACTCTTTAAATCCATGCCTTAAAGCAAATATTTCAGAGATAAATTCCTAAGAAAGATATATTTTCAACTGAAACTTATAATTCATCTTCATAGGAAGACAGCCAGAGGTTATTTCAATTTTGGATAATTTTATTCTGGGTTTCTAAATATTCTAGATGGTTTTCCAGGCACTTGCTGTATGTTTTTGTCTATATATTCTTCAGTACTTTTTCAAATACAAGTTGGTGGCCTACTTACCCTTGCAAAGCTCAACCTTTGTGAACTTAATAGTGCCTTCCATTCTCTTTAGATGAAGGGGCCTAACATTTATTGAGTAGCTGCTAGGTGCTGTGCTAGGTGTATTATCTAGATTATCTTGTTTAATCCATAGAGTAATATTATGAGGCAATACCATTACTGTCTTCATTTTACAAGTGAAAAAAAAATAACAAGGAGCAGAGAGGTTTATGAAGTTGTTCCAGCTCAAAAGTAAACAAAATAGTAGATGACAAAACTTAGATTTGAATTTAGAGGTGGGGCTAAAGGGATATATGATAAACCAAACCAAAATGTTTTTTCTTTCTTTAGTCTCTATTCTTACACAACCAACACAGAGCACGTCCGACACCAGCTGTCCCCATGCTAAGCAATTCTCTGGCAAATTCCCCAGGACACACTAGCAGGATGCCCTCAAATTCAGTTCAGTTCTGACACCATCTACCTGGATATAGTGTCACATCCCACAGATTGATGCCTCCATTTCACAGGACTGCCCCCCACTTCAGATGCCGACTGCAAGCACAGGTTATGACCTGTACTTCTGACTAGCTGGCTATATACATCAGTGTTCCCACAATTCCCTCCTTAGGTTTGATTAATTTGCTGGAGTGTCTCATAGAACTCAGGGGAACACATTTTCTTACTTATTATAGATGATATTACAAAAGATACAGATGAATAGCCAGACGGAAGAGATGCATACATAGGGTGAGGCATGTGGGCAGGGGTATGGAGCTTCCATGCCCTCCCTGGGTGTGATACCCTCCAAAACCCTCCATGTGTTCAGCTATCCAGAAGCTCTCAGAATGTAGTCCTTCTGGGTTTTAATGGGAGCTTCATTACATAGGTATGATTGATCAAATCATTGGCCATTGGTGATCAACTCAAACTTCAGCCGATCTCCTCTCTGTGGAGGGGGTGAAGGGGTGCAGCTGAAAGTCCCAAACCTCTAATCATGTCTTAGTCTTTCTGAAGTCATCCAGGGTCCCCCAGCCACCAGTTGGCTCATTAGTATACAAAAGACACCCTTATTACTTTGTAGATTCCAAAGATTTTAGGAGATGTATGTCAGGAAATGGGGACAAAGACCAAATATATATTTTACAGTATCATACTCTGAAGATTCTGAAATTTATGCTCTTTCTACTATGCCAGATGGCAGTAAGAATGTTTTAAAGAAATCATCAAGTTACAGTAAAGTGCCACAGTATGCGTAAATCTATTGTATGTGCACGTGTGTGTGTGTGTATTTAATTATAGCCTGCCAACTTGCAAGTGAAGGTTTGAGAAATCTCTGAATTCCAGTACATGTAGAGACTACAGTTGCTGAACCTAAACATGGACATGGTCTAGCATTTGACTGCACTGCTTAGTCAACATGAACATGATCCCTTTCATATGACTTGGGAAGCAGAGACGTCACATTTGGATGTTTCCCTCCACAGACATCTAGTGCAAAGGTATCATTGCTACAGAAAGCAAACTGGAATGTAGAAAACTCTGTTTAGGAAATTCAGTACCAAAGTTGTCCTGTTGGTTTGACTTTTAATCACTATGGGCCCTAAAGTACATGTAATCAGCATGAGATGAAGCCAATAGTGTAGCTACAGACAGTTTTAGAAATCAACAGTCAGGATAGAAGACTACAGGACCTGCACTTCTACCTCCCTTGACAGAAATAGAAATTGTAAGTGCAGAACAATGGCAGGATTAGGCCTTTTCATGGCTGACTCAGATGTTACAGTTTAACTCCCCAGATGAACTGAGACTTGGGAAATAAAGGCTTTTTTTTTAATTTTTTTTTTATTTTTTAATGGCTGTAAATCAGTAAGGTGGTAATAGATAAAATAACCTGGACAATATGTGGCTTTAGTGAACTCTACAAAATTCTTACAAGTCTGACTTTGCTTGAATGAGGAGGAAATTGATTACATAAAGTGTAGTAATTTCCTCTACAGTGGAAATTACATGCGTATAGATAGAGAGGTAGATTCATTGATCCTTCTATTCATCCATTCATGTATAACATAAGAAAAACTAACACTAGATAATGATTATTATCACTAGATAATAAGTTATTTTTCCACTGTGGTAAAATGGAATGTATGAATATTTAGAGGAGAAATCAAGGGTCTTGATATTTGCAGTGACTCCAATAAGACATGATCCTGGCTTTAGCCCTTAGCCTCTTTGTCCTCTCCTCTCCTCTCCTCCCCTCTCCTCTCCTCCCCTCTCCTCTCCTCTCCTCTCCTCCCCTCTCCTCTCCTCTCCCCTCCCCTCCCCTCCCCTCCGCTCCCCTCCGCTCCCCTCTCCTCTCTCTCTGCTGCTAGAAATCCTAGTGTGCTTATATTTTTTCACCAGCAGGGGAACAGTGTTACCTATATTACACTATAACTCCCAAAGAGTCGGAAATCATAGGTTCTGTTTTAACTCCTTTAAATTTCCCTGTATGTAAAACCAAAAGGTGATTTGGACAATCTCTGCGATCCCTGTAAATAGCACAGAATAAATGAAAATAGCACAAATTCAGAATCTGACCTACGTTTGAATCCTGGCTTCATCCCTTTATAGCTATATAACTCCTCTACAGCTTGGATTTTGTCTGTAAAGTGAGAATGTAATATTATTTAATGTGGTTGATAGGAATATTAAATTAGAATAACAATAATGGCTTAGCACATTGTAGCTAAGGGAGGTTTTTTTTTTTTGGTTCTCATTCTTTGTACAACTATAGGGACAAATTGAAACAGTAAAAGTTATCTTTTATTCCTACTTTTGATTTTAACAGTTCAGATAAAACTGTTATAATATCACGTAGGCCAATAGACAACTGCATTGCAATGAGCAATTTAAACTGTAAAAATCACGTTCAAGTGTTTTATTTCTTTCATTTCCACAGCAGCCCTGAGCTATTTCTCCAATATTTCTCAAATAGCTAACTGGGCTGCTGTGGAAATGAAAGAAATAAAACATGCTAAAGTGATTTGGTGATTCTTCTATTCAACATATATTTACGGAAGGGCCTATGTTCTGGCACCATGGGGGTTCTACACTGGTGTGTAAAACGAGATGAGTTGCCTGCCCTCAGGAATCTTATCATCTAGTGTGGGAAGATTATCATTATTCAAAGAAGCACACTGAAAAAGAAAAAAAAAAAACCCACATCCTTTAACCCCTTTTATTCGGAGTTATTTATTGGGGACCAATCTAAATTGGTCCCTAAGAGATACTGAATATGTAGCCTTCTGGTTACTGGGTGGTGAGTGAGGGGTCGTGCATGTGTCAATTTCTTTTGGTATAAGGAACTGAGGTTCTCTCAAGATTCTGCTCACGTCAGGTTTATATGAGGATGTCTGTGAACTGATAAAGGGAAGCGGTCAAGAACAGAGGTCACTTTAGAGACTTAAAGTGACTCTCTGCATCCTCATGGGCTGCCACGTGGTCTCTCAGCTCATGGTGTCTTGTTTCTCTCAGTGGGGTTTTTTTTTCAGTCTCATAATATTGGCTTTCCGTGACACAGCATGGCCCTGACAAGATTTCATGGCTTTGTTCCAGCCTCTGTTCACATTAGCATCCTCATTATATTAGGAATACCTAATTTAAATTTCCAAGAGAGACAACTTGGATCAACTCACCTTTTTGCTCCAGATCACACCAAAACATCTAACCAGCGTGTGGAATAATGCTCCTGAGGCTAGAGGTGCACATTCTTCATCCTATCAGATGTGGTCAGGACTGCTGGACTGGAGCAGCAAGAAGGGGGCTCTGGGGTGTCTAATGTGATTTTTCAGGCCTCAGTGTGAAGTGGATGAAATATTTCTCTGGATTATCTGCTCTGTATACTCACCAAATAGCCTTCTGTTGACTTACATGTCTTCTCAGGTACCTGACCTTGGGAACACAGGGCTATGAATAAGTAATGAATGGAATGGTTGCTGGCATGTATGGTCACTCCATTGAAAATTACTACACAAATATTTTGATCTATAAGTTCATCTCTTGTTGGTCAGTGACCACCAATCCGACGAGCTCTAGGTGTAATGACAAATTAAATGTGCAAAGTAGAAGACCACACACTGGGATAGTAACCTCTCCAAAAACACATTCTTTCTTAGAGTCTTACTCTTTAGCCTTGTATTATTTGAGTATGGTTGCATTATTTTAGTTCCAATTTGAGAATTAACTCATTAATGTATAATATTTGAAATCACTTCTTTATTACTCCAAAGCAGTACAGACAGGTGTGGTGATGCACACCTGTAATCCCAGCTACTTGAGAGTCTGAGGCAAGAAGATCACTTTGGGCCAAGAGTTTCAGACCAGCCTGAAGTGAGACCCTGTCTCAGAAAACACAAAAGACAAAATCCCAAAACACATACACACAAAACAAAAGCAATATTGAATAAATAGATAAAAAAATGTAGAAAATAAAAATAGCCATAATCCTGCCACTGAGCAGTAACTACTATTTAAATTTTCACATACATCTTTCCCAAGAGGGAAAGAATGTGTGCAAAACATATATACTGCTATATTTATCAAGATGAAACTTTTGTGTTCATACTTTTATAGTCTGTTCATCTCACAATATTTCTGAAATTTATTTCCATTTTTTCTAAATGGTCTTCTACCATGTCTTTAATGACTACTGACATCCTACTAGATGAATAAAACATGTACCTTACAAATTTTGATTCAATGAAATGTAGTTCTTGTTATTACAGACAATATTGTAATGAATTATATCTGCTAAATATTTTCCAGTCTTCATGAGTATTCCTTTGAGGTATCTTATAGGCTTGGGTGATGCCCTGCTCAGACCTCCTTTCTGAGACCAGTGCACTCATCCCCCAGCTGTTGTGTTTTGGCTGCAAGTGACTCACAGCTGCCCTTTTTCACCAGATAGATACCTGCTCTCAGATAATGGAACCTACTTGCCAAAAAAGGCTACAACTCCAGCTGCTACAGGCACCTGCAGCCAAAGACTGACTAACGTGGGTGTACATAAGACCAGCTGTCTTGATTCAAAGTGGAGACGATTCTGCAGGGGCAATTTAGGCTCCAGAGCTCTGATAAATCAAGCCAAAGCTAGATTTTGTCTTTGCTTGACCCTTTCCTCTTTCTTAACTATAGTCCTCACTCCCTTAAATGATTTCCTGAAGAGCACTCCCTCAATACATTATAATCTACTTGAATCCAAGACTATTTTTAGGGAACATGACTTAAGATAAAAACGACTACTTAGAAGGTCTATCTATCCATCTTCTCATATATATATAAGAGTATATATATATACTCTTATATCTATATGAGTGCATACATAAAGAGCCATTGATTTTCGAGATATTTTATAATACATATATACATATGTATATATGTGTGTATATATATATTTTACATATATACATATGTATATATGTGTATATATATATTTTACATATATACATATGTATATATGTGTATATATATTTTACATATATACATATGTATATATGTGTGTATATATGTGTGTGTATATATATATTTTACATATATATACATATGTATATATGTGTGTGTGTATATATATGTAATATATATATATGTTTTTTTTTTGAGATGGAGTCTCAGTCTGTCACCCAGGCTGGAGTGCAGTGGCACGTTCTCGGCTCACTGCAACCTCTGTCTCTGGGGCTCAATCAATTCTCCTGCCTCAGCCTCCCAAGTAGCTGGGATTACAGGCGTGTGCCACCACACCTGGCTAATTTTTGTATTTTTAGTAGAGACAGGGTTTCACCATGTTGGCCAGTCTGGTCTTGAACTCCTGACCTCAGGTTATCCGCCTGCCTCGGTCTCCCAAAGTGCTGGGATTACAGGCATGAGCCACCACGCCCATCCTATATATTTTGAAATTTTATATTTACTAAGATAAAATTCACATGCCATACTCTTCATCCATTTAGAGGGTGCAAATCAAGAATTTTAGACTATCTACAGATGTATGTGCAAGCATCACCACAGTCAATATTAGAACATTTTCATAATCACAAAAACAACCTTGTAGACTTTAGCTATCACCCTCTACCCATCTATCCTCTCTAGTCCTAAGTAAGCACTGATCTACTTTTGCTCTCTGTACATTTGCCTAATTTGGACATTTCATATAAATGGAATAATATAATATACGATCTTCTGTGACTGGCTTCTTCCACTTACTACAATGTTTTTAAGGTCCATCAGTGTTATAGCATGTATCAGTATATCATTCCTTTTTATGGCCAAATGTTTCATTGTATGAATAGATAACATGTTGTTTATCCATTGTCGAAATAACTTAATGGGATGCCATTAGGCTGAGATGATTCCAAGGCTATGGGTTCCTACATAAACAAAACTTAAGCTTGGCCAGTCATAAATGACCAACTGAGCATTAATTATACAATCAAGACTTTCCACCTGGATAATGCAAATAAGGCAATAGCTTAACTTTAATGAATCAAATAATTTTTTTGCTCTTCTGCATTCCCCCTATAAATGACTTCCCTTCAGATGCATCTAGTGGAGCCCCATACCACTTTCAGTTTTAAGTTTGGTGCTGATTCATGAATTGTTGTTTGCTCATATAAACTCCTAAAAATTATAATGTGCCTCCGTTTATTTTCTAACACTATTCACAATTTGATGATTATTTGGGTTGTTTCTTAATTTTTTGGCTATTATAAATAGTGATGCTATAAACATTTGTGTACAGGTTTTTGCGTGGACATATATTTTCATTTCCCTTGGGTATGTGTCAAAAAGTGGAATTGCTGGATCATATGATAACTCTATCTGTAATGTTTTGAGGGACTGCCGGACTGTTTTCCAAAGTGATTGCCCACTCTACATTGCTACCAACAGTGTATGAAGGTTCTGATTTCTCTATATCTTCATCAACACTTGTTATTATCTGATTTTTAAAATTATGCCACTCTGGTGGGTGCGAAGTGGTGTCTTGGGGTTTTAATTTGCATTTATGTAATCTAATGATGTTGAACATCTTTTTATGTGGTTATCAGTCATTTGTATACCTTCTTTGGAGAAATGCCTATTAAAACTCTTTGCCCATTTTAAAATAATATTATTATCTTTTTATAATTGTTTTAGAAGTTTTTATGTATTTTGGATACTAATCCCTTACTAGATACATCATTTGCAAATGTTTTCTCTAATTTTGTGTGATATATTTTTACTTTCTTGATACTATAGTCTTTTAAAGCAGAAATATTTTTTAATTTTGATGAAGTCCAGTTTGGCTATTTTTTCTTTTGTTGCCCGTGGTTTTGGTGTCATATCTAAGAATACATTGCTCATTCTGAAGTAATGAATATTACTGGTGAAGAAAACACCTGTTTTCTTCTGAGAGTTCTTTTTAACAGTCTTTTTCTCTGGCCACACCCAGCTGCTAAGTTTCCCTAATTACCTAGATGATTGCTCTATTGTTTTCAATAATTCTCCGTTGCATAAGTTGCTCCGCAAATGGATCCGGTCAAATTTGTGTTCTTTTGAACGGATAGCTCCTAAAGCCAGTGTTTTGAGATTTGTTCCTACCCCAAGATGTCTTCATCTGTCTCTTTCCTCATTTATCTCTGGAAAACTAGCCAGCCTGCGGTTTAGCTTATAGCTCTAGTGAATCTATCAGTTTCCTCTCAATTGGCTATCATCACAATCTCCGTTAATTTACAGTATGTCCTTAGGTTTGAACTTCTCCACATCTTGTTTCACATGAAGTCAGTTCTCTGGGGGAGAGGTTCAGACCTTTCTCTTCTAAGGCCTGATATTTCCCCTAGACAAAATCTTTGAGGCACTTGGCCGGGCGCGGTGGCTCATGCCTGTAATCCCAGCATTTTGGGAGGCCGAGGCGGGCAGATCACCAGGTCAGGAGATCGAGACCACCCTGGCTAACACGGTGAAACCCCATCTCTACTAAAAATACAAAAAAATTAGCTGGGCGTAGTGGCGGGCGCCTGTAGTCCAGCTATTAGGGAGGCTGAGGCAGAATGACATGAACCAGGGAGGCGGAGCTTGCAGTGAGCTGAGATCACGCCACTGCACTCCAGCCTGGGTGGACAGAGCGAGACTCCGTCTCAAAAAAAAAAAAAAACAAAAAAAAACTTTGAGTCACTTGTCTGGTACTGGGAGCAGGGACAATGGTGTGCTTCCCTTTGAGTGACACTCTCACTCTTAGGAGCTAAGTGCTTGGTATAGGGAAGTGCAGCACTCCTGGGTCTCCTGGTGTGGAATCCCCAAACTGTGAGCCACTTGGATCAGACTCCAGTACTGTCAGCAGTACCATGCTTAAGTTAGATCCTCTGTCTCCTAGTTTAGCGTTGGGTAGAAAAAGGGAGCACCCACTTCTTAGCTGCACCCAGCCAGTAGTTAGCCTCACCAACAGGTAGCTAGTGGCAGGATGAGAAATTTGATTTCTTGCTCACTGCAGAAAGACAGTCCCCTGACTGGGATCTGGAGTGAGAGGGAACCTCATATTCCTGGCTGTAGCAGCCAGGAGTGGAGATTTTGTCTTGCTAAGTTGGGGGCAAGAAGGGAGAAACTGAGTCTTGGCTCATATACCACACACTTTTATTCTTCTTACCAAATTTTAGTACATTTTCTTGAATAATTTTTTTTAATTTGCTGTATGCTCTTAGGGCCATTTCTAGAGACTTAAAATTTATTTGGCCAGGCGCAGTGGCTCACGCCTGTAATTCCAGCACTTTGGGAGGCCGAGGCGGGCGGATCACGAGGTCAGGAGATTGAGACCATCCTGGCTAACGCGGTGAAACCCCGTCTCTACTAAAAATACAAAAAGTTAGCCGGGCATGGTGGCGGGCACCTGTAGTCCCAGCTACTCGGGAGGCTGAGGCAGAAGAATGGCGTGAACCCGGGAGGTGGAGCTTGCAGTGAGCCGAGATCGTGCCACTGCACTCCAGCTTGGGTGGCAGAGCAAGACTCTGTCTGAAAAAAAAAATTATTTAAAAAATATTTTCGCCAGTTTTGCTAGAGAGCAGGTCAACAGAGAACCCCAAGCTGTCATGCCAGAAGTAGAACCTGGACCGTTGATTTTTTTTCCTTATTTTTTTGTGATAAAATATGTATAACATAAAATTTACCATCTGAACAATTTTTAAGTGTATACTTCAATGGTATTAAATATACTTATAATGTTGTACAACTATCACCATCATACTATTATGATTTATGTAGAATATCTTTTCCTATTCTTTTACTTGTAATGTATTTATGTCTTTGAATCTAAAGTGAGTCTCTTGTGGATAGCATGTAGTTGGATTATATTTTTAAAAATAGATTCACCAATCTCTGTCTTTTGATTGGAGAGTTTAATCCATTTATATTTAAAGTAATTATCAATAAAAAAGGACTTACTTTACTCATTTTGCTATTTTCTATATGCCTTATAGCTTTTTATCCCTCACTTCTGCATTAGTGTCTTTTGATTATTTCGTAAAAGAAATGCTTAAATTTCTTTCTCATTTCCTTTTTTATGTATTCTACAGTTTTTTTTTGTGGTTATCATGGGGGTTAAATTTAACATACTAGAGTCTTAACACTCTAATTTGAATTTATAGCAGTTTAACTTCAATAACATGCATGAACTCTGCTCCTCCCCTTTTGGCTATTAATTTCACAAGATTATGTCTTTATACATTGTGTATAAAGCTCTGTCTCCACACTTTTCGTTTGCTAATGTTAAAAGATTATGTGTATCTACATTGTGTGCCTAAAAGCATAAACTAACAATCCTTTAAAATGTGTTAGTGTCTTAAATTATGTAGAAAACAAAATGTGGAATTACAAACAGTTGTTATAATAATATTAGCTTTTATAATTGCCTATGCATTAACTTAATTGAAATTTTTAATTCTTCACATGGCTTCAAGTTACTGTCTAGCATCCTTTCATTTCACCCTGTGGGTTTCCCTTTTGTATTTCTTGTGGGGCAGATTTAGCAGTAACATACTGTCTCAGCTTTTATTTATCTGGGGATGTCTTACTTTCTTTTTCATGTGGGAAAGACAGTTTTGCTGAATATAGGATACTTGGTGATGGTTATTTTCTTTTGGCACTTTGAATATATCACCCCACTGCCTTCTGGCCTCCAGAGTTTCTGATGAGAAATCTGCGAATAATCTTCTTGAGAATAACTTGCATGTGATTAGTTGCTTTTCTCTCGGCGGTTTCAAGATTCTTTGTCTTTCAAAAGTTCAGTTATAATGTCTTGATGTGGATCTTTTTTGAATTTATCTTACTTGGAGTCCATCAATTATTTTAGATGTTTATATCCATGACTTTCATCAAATTTGGGAAGATTTCAGTCATAATTTCTTCAGATATTTTTTTTCTTTGACTATTTCTTCTCTCTTCTCCTGAGACTCCTACCATGCTTGTTTTGGTTCATTTAATGGCATCCCACAGGTCTCTTAGGCTCAGTTCATTTTTCTTCAATCTTTTCTCTTGTGCCCCAAATGATAATTTTTTTTATATTTCTTGTTTTTGTTTATTAATACATAATTTTTGTACATATTTATGGGGTACATGTGATATTTTGATACATGCATACAATGTGTAATAATCAAATCAGGGTATTTAGGATATCCATCACCTCACACATTTTATTTCTTTATGTTGGAATATTTCAAATCTCTTCCAATTATTTTGAAATATACAATATATTGTTTTTAACTATCATTCACTCTACTTTGCTATGAAGCACTAGAACTCACTCCTTCGATCTAACTGTATGTTTTTACCCATTAATCAACCTCTTTTTATTCCCCCTTGATTCTTTGCAGCCTCTGGTAACCTTCATTCTACTCTCTACCTCCATGAGATCAACTTTTTTAGCTGCCACATATGAGTGAGAATATGCAATGTTTGTCTTTTGTGCCGGGTTTATTTCACTTAACATGATTTCCAGTTCCATTCATGTTGCTGCCAACGACAGAATTTCATTCTTTTTTATAGTTGAACAGTATTCTATTATGCATATATACCAAATTTTCTTTATCTATTCATCCATTGATGGAGACTTAAATTGAGTCCATATATTGGCTATTGTGAAAAGTGCTGCAATAAACATGGGGTTGCAGGTATCACTTTGATATATTGACTTTTTTTTTCCTTTGGATAACTACTCAGTAATGAGATTGTTGGATTGTATGGTAGTTCTACTGTCAGTTTTTTTTTTTTAGAAACCTCCATACTATTGTTCATAATGGCTATACTAATTTATGTTCCCACCAACAGTGTATAAAGGTTCTGTTTTCTCCATATCCTCACCGACATTTCTTATTTTTTGTCTTTCTGGTAATAACCATTCTAACTAGGTTGAGGTGATATCCCATTGTCATTTTGATTTGCATTTCCCTGATGATTAGTGATTTTGAGAATTTCTTGTCATATAACTCCTAGCCATTTGTATGTCTTTTAAGAAATGTCTATTCAGATCCTTGGCCCTCTCTTAATGGGATTATTTATGTTTTTGCTGTTAAGATGTTTGAGTTCCTTGTATATTCTGGATATTAGTCCTTTGGTGGATGAATAGTTTGCTAATATGTCCTCCCATTCTACAGATTGTCTCTTCATTCTATTAATTGTTAAACTTGATAATTTCCATTGTCCTCTCTTCAAGTTAACTGATTTTTTCTTCTGTTTTCTCTAATCTGGATTTGAATCCCTCTAGTAAATTTTTCATTTAAGTTATTGACTTTTCAGCTCCAGAATTTCTTTTTGGTCTTTTACAAGATTTTCTATCTTTTTACTGATATTACCATTTTAAGTCACATATTATTTTCTTGATTCTTTCGACATCTCCTTTCAGTTCTTTCATTGTCTTTAAGATAGTTGTTTTAAAGTCTTTGTCTAGTATATCTGCCACAGGTCTTTTTCAAGAATAGTTTCTGTTGACTTATTTTTTTCCTTTAAGTGGATTATACGTTCTTGTTTTTTTGGTATGATTTGTGGTATTTTGTTGAAAACTGGACCTTTGAATCTAATAATGTGGTAATTGTGGAAATCAGATTCTTTCCCTTCCCCGGTGTTTGCTTCCCTCTTCCCCCACTCGTTTGATCCTGAATACTGTGTGAAGGTTGCTTCAGGAACACAAATACAGCTTCTTGACATGGAGCTATGGGTGGAGGATGAGTAGCTGCTACTGTACTAAGAGCTGAAATGGACCGAAATTAACCATAATTTATCATCCAAACCTGGAAGTGGGAATTTCAAGTCTTCAATAGACTCCTGAGTTCCAAAATAGTTACATTAGACAGAGTCTGCCAATGTAATTGGTGTCTAGATTGGTAGAGAGATATCTGGTGCTTCCTACTCTGCCATCTCCCCAGAGTCCTCTGGACCATTAATGTTTATGACATTTTAATTTGATATACAAGCTTACAATAAAGTTGCAATAGTATAAGGAACTCCCATATATACTTTATTCAGATTTGACAGCTTTTTATATTTAGATTTCATCCATTTGCGTTATCAGGCTCTCTCTCTATGTATATATATAGATGTGTGTGTGTGTGTGTGTGTGTGTGTGTGTTTGTGTATGTGTGTCTATGTATATTAGTTTTTTTCTGAATCACTTGAAAGTAAACTGGGGACAACCTGCCCTCACCCAAATATTTTGGAATGTATTTCCTAAGAAAAAGAACATTCTCTTACAAAATCCCAGTACAGATATCAAAATCAGAAACTTAATATTGATAAAATAGGATTCTTATCCACAGTTTGTATTACAATTTCAGTTGACTGATATTAGTCTTATAGCTATCTTCCCTTCATCCCTTCATTCTAGCATCCAGTCCAGAATCATCATCATGCAGTGTATTTATACATTTAAGGTTGCTATGATTTCTTGGAGAAGTGGCCGGCCTGCTTATCATTAGGTAACATCCTATATATGTATACACATTTATGTATGTTGTAACTTAATATATACATATAAAGATAATGAATTTAGAAGCTTATTATACATTCTGGATACAAATTCTTTGTCAGAAATATGTATTGTAAATATATTTTTCTGGTTTGTACTATGCCTATTCATTTTTTTCTTTCTTTTTTTCTTCTCCCCTTTCTCCATTTTTTTTTAAGAGACAAGATCTCACTCTTGCCCAGGCTGGAGTGTAGTGGCATGATAATAGCTCACTGCAGCTTTGAACTCCTGAGCTCAAGTGATCCTCCTGCCTCAGCCTCCCAAATAGCTGGGACTGCAAGCATCTACCACCATGCTCGGCTAATTAAAAAAAAAAAATTTAGAGATAGGGTCTCATTATGTTGCCCAGACTGGTCTCAAACTTCTGGCCTCAAGCAATCCTCCTACCTTGACCACCCAAAGCACTGGGATTGTACCCGGCCCCTATTTATTTTCTTGATAGTGTCATTTGATGAGAAGAAGTTTTAATTTTGATAAAGTCTAATTTAACATTATTTTTATTTCATGATTTGGCTTTCTATATCCTAAGAAACTTTTGCCTATCTTCATATCTCAAAGATATTCTCCCATTTTTTTTCTTTTAGCAGCTTTGTAGCTAAATCTTTTTAAGTGAAGTTTTTTAGCTTTTACCTTTAAGTCTACAATCCATCTCAAATTAATTTTGAGGCTTAATATTTTTATAAAGAAATATGTGTGTGGTGTGTGTGTGTATATATGTGTGTGTTATACATAAAGGTATACTCGAGACTTGGTGATTTATAAGGAAAAAGAAATTTAATGGACTCACAGTTCCACATGGCTGGGAAGGCCTCACAGTTATGACAGAAGGTGAAAGGCATGTGTTACATAGTGGCAGACGAGAGAATGAAAGCCAAGCTAAAGGGGAAACCCCTTATACAATCATCAGATCTCATGAGACGTATTCATTACCATGAGAACAGTATGGGGGGAACTGCCCCCATGATTCAATTATCTCCCACTGGGTCCCTTGCACAACATGGGGGAATTATGGGAGTACAATTCAAGATGAGATTTGGGTGGGGACACAGCCAAACCATAGCATAGATCTTAATTTCAGGTAGTTTGAGTCCTTCAACTTTTCTTCATTTCCAAAACAATTTAGGTATTCTAGGATCTTTGCTTTTTCATGTAGATTTTAGAGAGAGCTCACCAGTTTTTACAAAATGCCAGCTGAGAATATAATTGAATTTGTGTTGAATTGCTAGATTGGTTTGGAAATAACTGACACCTTAACAATATTATTTCTAAAATATGAACATGGTATATTGGTCCATTTATTTAGGTCTTCTTTAATAACAGCAGTACTTAATAGTTTTCTTTTTTTTGAGACGGAGTCTCACTCTGTCACCCAGGCTGGAGAGCAGTGCCGTGATCTCGGCTCACTGCAAGCTCCGCCTCCCGGGTTCACGCCATTCTCCTGCCTCAGCCTCCTGAGTAGCTGGGACTACAGGCGCCCGCCACTACGCCCGGCTAATTTTTTTGTATTTTTTTTTAGTAGAGACGGGGTTTCACCGTGTTAGCCAGGATGGTCTCGATCTCCTGACCTCATGATCTGTCCACCTCAGCCTCCCAAAGTGCTGGGATTACAGGCGTGAGCCACCGCGCCCAGCCTAGTTTTCGTTGTTTATATCTCATATGTCTTTGTTAATTCAGTACATTCCTAATTATTTACTATTTTTGATGTTATTGTAAATGACATCAAAAATCATTTTCCAATGGTTTACTACAGTATATTCACTTTATTTTTGTATATTGAGTTTCTATCCCCAGACCTTGCTAAATTCATTTAGAATCATTAGGATTTTCTACCAAAACTGTCATGTAATCTGTGAAGAGAAACTGTTTTACTTCTTTCTTCTTAATCTTTATCTTTTATATTTACTATTTATGCCAATTGCACTGGTTGAATAGAAATGGTGAGAGTGGACATGCTTGTTTTGTCCTTGATCTTAGAAAGAAAGCATTCACTATTTCACAATTATGCATGATGTTAACTGTAGGTCTTGCTTAGATGTAATTTATTAGGTTAAAAAAAGTCCCTTCTGTTTCTAATTTGCAGAGAGTTATTATACATGGCTGTTGAACTTTGTTAAATGCTTTTTCTGCATCTGTTAAATGATTGTGATTTTTCTCCTTCATTCTTTTGGCATGATGAATTGCATCAATTGATTTTTGCATGTTAAATCAAACTTGTATTTCTAGGGTAAATTTCACTTGGTTGTGCAATATTTTTCTTTTTATGTTTGCCTAGATTTTATTTGCTAGTATTTTTTGAGGAGTTTTGCAACTATGTTCGTGAGAGATATGTGTCTTGATAAAGCTATAAAAGAAAAATTTGAGGCCATACATAGTATAGGATTATAATGTTTGCAACTAATGAGTTGAAAAGCTATGAGGAAATATGTTGAAATTTTTGAGAAATTTGTGTTCATTTCTATATAAAGAAAGAAAAGGTTACAAATACTTTATTGCAAGTTGCTATATGGACTGCATAAACAAAAACTAACACTAGAATTTGGGGTTTTTGTTTTGCTTTCATTTATGTAGCAAAGTTATTGTGTCTAGACAACAGATATTTCTTTTATTAATAAATTGTTCTGTTAACTCTGTTCTTTTTGAATACTTTTAAATTACTTTGGAAAAGGATTACTTACTTTTTAAGGCTAAAAATATTAATAGTCATGGTTACTTATTTAAAATTATTGCATGTAACTATTTCTTTTCTTTGGATACTTGTGACTTATGTTCTTGTCTTCTCTGCCAAGTCTTTTTGATTTCCCAAATCAGGTCCAAAATTTATAATAATAAAACTGTTGGGATGACGTTTATGTTTAAAATTTCTTTGAGCTTCCTGGAAAGGCCACCATGAAACACAGAGATTTTCTTCTTTATCCTTGTAAGAGAAAGACTATAGGAATAATTATGCTTGCTTGGCATTCTCTACATTTTAGTTAATTCAAAGCTATAGTGAGAGTACTTTTGTTTACCAAACTTAGAATAAGGAAACAATACAGCATATCAATACATCAAAAGAGAATTTCAGCCTTCCTAGGGTATTTATGTATAAATAAAATGTTAGTATGAATATATTTCAATGACTGTGTATCCTTCATATTAAAATAAACTATCATAATATCTTCAGAAAGGTTTAGTTCTAGGTTTAAATGCTCTTGTCAATCAGAAACAATCACAATACAATTTATGAAATAAATTAAGGGCCTAGAGGTTTGTCAATTTTGTTACTTTTCATAAGATAATCTTTCTGCCAGCATAATCAGTGACTAAATCTTTATAAAATTGATTATATGTTACAGCTCAGTAGAGGGTTTTGTTCTCTTTCATTCTGCTGTTGTTATTGTTATAATAAATTAACCAGAGCCTTTAGTTTTATTATCCACAGGGATTTTTGCTTCTTTTTTACTTTGTTTTATTTTTATGTGACAAATTATAATTGTATATATTTACGGGGTACAATGTGATGTTTCAATACCTGTATACATTGTGGAATGATAAAATCAGGCTAATTAATATACGTATCACCTCAAGTATTTATTTCTTTGTGATGAAAACATTTAAAATCCTTTCTTTTAGCTATTTTGAAATATACAAGTATAGACAACATTTACATTCACCTAATGGCCTGTGATTTAAGATTAAGCTCTGGAATGTGTGTTCTGGAAGGAATATTAAAAGAATCTAAGTAAGGAACTGTAATAGTATCTCTCTCTTACTATGCTGTGAGGAAGCTGGGTCGTGTACAAGGTGTTCTGACCTGCATCTCCAGCTAAGGTCTCCACCTAAGGCCAGCATTAACCATCAGACACGTGAATGAGCAAACTTTCAGATGATTGCAAACCCCATCCTTCAGGCTGTCCCAGTCGATACCTAGTAAAGCAGAGATAAGCTGGCTTGACAATTCCTGCTTGGGTTGCAACTCTATGAGCAAATTAAATGTTGTTTTAAGCCACTAAATTTTGGAAAAATTGGTTATGCCGTGATAGTAGCCAAAATTGATTTTAGTTCTGGAACACAGCAAGTGAAACAGATAATATAGAAAATACACTTACAGGTATCACTGACATCATCACTACTGCCAGGTGACTGAGTCAGAATTTGTAACAGTTGGCTTCAGAAGCAAAAACAATATGAAGTAGGCAAGATCATTGGCACAAGATTCCCTGATTCTAAGAGCCACTGATTACCATGAGCTTCTTTGCATAATTTTGTTTGTTATACTCTTTGTTGCTGTCTTCCCTTTATGAAAAAGGATATTAGGAGGCAACCCTGTTCTTTAGTCACAATACTCCCAAACTCCTTATCCTTGCCAACTATCACATGTGACTAATTTTTCAAATACTATAAAATTGAACAACTCATACTCAAAGGGAATGCCATTGTTTATCTAAAGAAGGTCCAAATAGTTGATGAGATATGTGGGATATGCTCCAAACTTTAATAATAATCCTTGCAACTGGATATACAAGCTGACAAAAATGATTTTGATGTATTGGAAAATTATTACCCAGGGTAGATATCACCAGAAATATGGTGAGGACCATTTCTACATTCTGAAAAAACATGGGTTTTTATAAACTAAAGATATCTTTGCCAATATGATGAATTAAACCAGGTGGAAATATTGATAATTTGAATTTAGTTAATAACTAGTACAGTTGAATTTTTTCATATTTATTAGATAAAAAAACTTCTGTTGTGAATTGATCATGTTGATTATCCTTCTCATTAATAAGTGTTCATACCTTTCTACTGATTTGTAAGAACATTTTACATATATTAGAGATATGAATCACTGGTCTATTATATATTTGCACACAATATTTAGCTTGTAAATGAAAACATTTTAAATAGTGTTCCAAAATACAGACATTTGTAATTTTTTTGTAGCCAGATATACCAACTAGTTCCTTAATGAACTGTTTTTGTTTTCAGGCTCAGAAAGTTTTTTCAAATTCAAGATTACAAATAACCATCTATGTTTTATTGTATGCATTCATTATTTCAGTTTTGTAGAATTCACCAATGAAGCCATCGGGTCCAGTGAAGCTATTTGTGATCTCTTGAGATTCCATATGAATTTTAGGATGTAAATATATTTTTTCTATAACTAGGATATATGTGAATTATTTTAATATTATTATGAAGCACAATAATTAAGAAAACTTAGACTCCAAATATTTGTTTTATTTAGTTGTCATATAACCTTTAGACTAATTATTTTCCATTACATATTTTATTATTTTTGCTGACAATCATCCCATTTTGAGTCCCTACATTAAATTTCACATTCTTTCTTTCTTTCTTTTTTTTTTTTGAGATAGAGCTTTGCTCTTGTTGCCCAGGCTGGAGTGCAATGGCGCGGTCTCGGCTCACTGAAACCTCTGCCTCCCAGGTTCAAGCGATTCTCCTGCCTCAGCCTCCCAAGTAGCTGGTATTACAGGTGCCCGCCACCACGTCCAGCTAATTTTTGTATTTTTAGTAGAGACGGGGTTTCACCATGTTGGCCATCCTGGTCTCAAACTCCTGACCTCAGGTGATCCGCCTGCCTCAGCCTCCCAAAGTGCTGGGATTACAGGCGTGAACCACTGCGCCCAGCTGACATTCTTTCTTTCCAAAGTATATTTCTAATCATTTCCTTCTTTTCCTCCATTTTATATATATACTCATTCATTCAGTAAACATTTGACGAGTTCACTGAAAGCAAAACACCGTGCTAAAATTTTCTTTCACCATACCTGATCAAATTTCTGTTAGCAAGGCACTAGTATCATAAATACTAGGATAGTATCAAAAAGCAAGGATCATAAATGTTATATTCGAGGGCATACGTTAGTGCCCTCGAATATAACTTATTCATATTGAGTTAACTTATTGCTGAACTTATTCATATTGAGTTGCAATATAGATCTAATTTGGGGAAAAAGTATTTTAATACATGTTATAAAAATCTTTGTTGTGATCTGGGCTCACTGCTAGCTCCACCTCCCAGGTTCACTCCATTCTCCTGACTTGGCCTCCTAAGTAGCTGGGACTACAGGCACCCGCCACCACGCCCGGCTAATTTTTTTGTATTTTTTTAGTAGAGACGGGGTGTGACAGAACGAGACTCTGTCTCAAAAAAAAAAAAAATTTTGTTGCAAATCAGTTTTTTTGAATTTAGTGAATAAACATCTATCAATGTTTGAAAATAATTATTCTGGTGATTTAGCAAAAGGATTTAACCCTACATGTAACAGAAGAAATCACTAGCTTTAAAATGAGAATTATAGAAAAATACTTTATGATTTGTATTTAATAGTAAAAAGAAGGTCTGAGATCTAAGAAGCTGAATGAAAATATTATAGAATGATTCTTAAATAAATAAAAAATTGTGGAATATATCTGTTCCTGGTAGAAATTGATTTGTTGATTGCTGATTGGTAATACTACTTATAGATCTATATGTCTATATGTCTCAGATGCTTAAAAATCATTTCCAGTCTTGAGACTGCATTGACATAGAAATATTTAAAGCTTTTTTTGTGGTGCAACTCTCATGTCTCCAAAATTGCTTTTTGCCCCATATTTGAGATGCTGACATCCTACCCATCTTTTATGGTGCTGGTTATTGGACACCCTGTGTCAGGGGTCCTCAAGACCCCACTCGAGTTCCATAATTCACCAGAAGTACTCACAGAACTCAGAGAAGCTGTTATAGTCATGGTTGCAGTTTATTACAGTCAAATGATACAAATTGGAATAAAAAAAGAAAAACAGTGCATAGGGCAGAGTTCAGGAGAAACCAGGCACAAGCTTCCAGTTGTCTTCTTGCAGTGGAGTTGTATGGACAGTGCTTATTTTTCCCAGCATTGATATGTGACAATGTGATGGAGTATTGTCAACCAGGAAAGTTCACCTTAGCCTAGGTTTACAGAGTTTTGATTGTAGGTCTGTTACGTAGGTGTGGGGCACCCATGTGGCCAACCTTGGTTATTTAGTCTTCAGGTCATTCAGAGGAAAGTCTGATACAGCATGGCCCAGACCCCCACTGTAAATCACATTGCTAGCATAAACTCCATGGCATGGCCCATGGCCCAAGGCCCCAGACATACCAAGACAATCTGATCAAGTGGGACATTCCAATGGCTTAGAGCTTTTCTCCAAGGAACTAGCCAAGGGTCAGCCTTTTCTTTGTAATGTGTAGGGTTTGAATAACCCAGGCCTGTTGAGTTAACCCATTACTGCACATGCATTGTATTTAACATGCTAAAATCCTGCCAATCTTTGGCATCTGGATTATCTTGTATCTAGTTACGATCTCCCTTCACCTACTGGCAATAACTTCTAACTCTGTGTTTCAAACGCACTTTATATTGAACGTGTCTTATTATCATATATGCAATAAGGTGAGGAGTTATAAATTAAGATGATATACAGTGCTTTCCCTCAGCACCTGGGACAACAGCTTGTGTATATAACAAAGGTGATACATATTTATTGAAATGAATGATTGTTGTCTCTGCTCATGTTTTGGCATTCCTATTAACTGGTGAAGTCTTCATAATTAGAGACCATGTTGTGTTCATTTGTCTTCCACAGAGTTTAAGGCCTTTCATGGATCGAGGGAATATATGTATATGTATTGAATGATATATTCATGAAGCATTGCTTGTATGTAAAATCTCATTTAATCCTCACAAAACCCTATGTAGTAATTACTGTTATTATTTTAATTTTATAGATAAGGAATATACCTATAGCCACTTAGCCAGCAAGCAACAGAACTGGAATTCAGCTGCATAGTCTGGGCCCATGTTCCACACTCTTCACTGCTTCATAACCTCCACAGTCAAAAATCCATGTGTAACTTTTGACTCCCCTAAAACTTAACTACTAATAGCCTACTGTTGACTGGAAGCCTTATTAATAATATAAATGATTAACACATATTTTGTATAGGTATTATATACTGTATTCTTATAATAAAGTAAGCCAGAGAAAAGAAAATATTAAGAAAATCATAAGGAAGAGAAAACATATTTGTTATTCACTAAGTAGAAGTGATTATCATAAGGTCTTCATCTTTGTCACCTTCACATTGAGTAGGCTGAGAAGGAGGATGAGGAGGAGGGGTTGGTTTTGCTGTCTCAGGAGTGGCAGAGGTGGAAGAAAATCCAAGTATATGATAAACCTGTGCAGTTAAAACCCATGCTGGGAGAGTGCTGGGAAAATGGCAGATAGCAGGCAGGACTAACTTGCAGCTCCTACTCGGACAGACAGAGCAGTGAATGGAGACCCACGTTTCGAATTGTTGCTCCAAGAACTACCACAGGAACATACCAGGAAAGCAGAGAGAATTCACAGTCCCTTTGAGGGAGGTGGATGGCTGCTGCAGACTCGGTGGGACAGCCAAGGAACTGTGAGTCTAATTGCTTTCTCAGCTGGGAGGCTTGTAGCCTGGTGCAAGTTCTAAGCCCTGCTCACCAGCTGCCTGGAAATAAACTCAGTGCTGTTGGGGGAGCATGGTGGGTGTGAGACCAGTCTTTCCAGCTGTGGGCTCCATGGGAGCTGGGTGAGGCCTGTGGCTGCTGGCTTTCCCCCACTTCCCTGATGACCTGTGATACAGCAGAGACAACCATAATCCCCCTAGGAACATAACTCCATTGGCCTGGGAACCACCCCACCATCCCCTGCAGCAGCCGCAGCAAGCCCTGCTCAAAGAGAGCCTGAGCTCAGACATGCTTAACCCTGCCCCAACCTGATAGTCTTTCTCTATCTGCCCTAGTAGCTGAAGACAAAGGACAGAATCTCTTGGGAGTTCTATGGCTCGCCCACTGCCGGATCCTCCCTATACTACCACAACTGATGTGCTCTTGAAAGTGTCACCTCCAGGCTGGAGGCCAACCAACACAAAACCAGCGCACCTAAAAATACAACAAAGGACCCTCACAGAGTCCACTTCACTCCCTTGCTGCCTCCACTGGAGCAGGTGCTGGTATCCATGGCTGAGAGACCTGAAGATGGTTCACATCACAGGACTCTTTGCTGACACTCCCCAGTACCTGCCCAGAGCCTGGTAATTCCACTGGATAGCTAGATCCAGAAGAGAACTAACGATGTTCAGCTGTCAGGAAGCCCCATCCTTAGGGGAAAGGGGGAGCACTACATCAAGGGAGTACCCTATGGGACAAAAGAATCTGAACAGCAGCCCTTGAACCTCAGATCTTCCTTCTGACGTAGTCTACCCAAATGAGAAGGAACCAGAAAAACAACTTGGATAATATGACAAAACAAGGTTCTTTAACACCCCCAAAAGATCACACCAGCCCACCAGCAATATATCCAAACCACAGATAAAAATTTTTGAATTGCCAGAAAAAGAATTCAGAAGGTCAACTATTAAGCCAATCAAGGAGGCTCCAGAGAAAGGTGAAGTCCAACTTAATAGAAATAAAAAAAAATGATATAGGATATAAATGGAAAAATCTCCATATAGATAGCATAAATAAAAAACAATCAAAACTTCTGGAAATGAAGGACACACCTAGAGAATTGCAAAATGCACTGGAAGGTGTCAGGAATAGAATAAAACAAGTAAAAGAAAGAACTTCAGGCTTTCAGATTAATCCAATCCAACAAACACAAAGAAAAAAGAATTAAAAAAAAAAAAAATGAACAAAGCCTCCAAGAAGTTTGGGATTATGTTAAATGACCAAACCTAAGAATAATTGGTGTTCCTGAGGAGGAAGAGAAATCTAAAAGTTTGGAAAATATATTTGAGGGAATAATCAAGGAAAACTCCCCAAGTCTTGATAGAGATCTAGCAGCTCAAAGAACAACTGGGAAATTCATCACAAAAACATCATTGCCTAGGCATGTAGTCATCAGGTTATCTAAAGTCAAGATGAAGGAAAGAATCTTAAGAGTTGTGAGGCAAATGCATCAGGTAACCTATAAAGGAAAACCTGTCAGATTAACAGCAGTTTCTCAGCAGAAACTCTACAACTAGGACAACCTAGAAGGGTTGATGGTCCTAGCTTTAGCCTCCTTAAACAAAATAATTATCAGCCAAGAACTTTGTATCCAGCAAAACTAAGCCTCATAAATGAAGGTAGGATATAGTCTTTTTAGATAAACAAATGCTGAGAGAATTCACCACTACCAAGCCAGAACTACAAGAACTGCTAAAAGGAGCTCTAAATCTTGAAACAAACCCTTGAAATACACCAAAATAGAATCTCCTTAAAGCATAAATCTCACAGGACCTGAAAAACAACAACACAATGAAAAAAACCCAAGGTATTAAGGCAACAAATAGCACTATATGTAGAATGGTACTTCACATCCCAATACTGATGTTGAATGTAAATGGCCTAAATGCTCCACTTAAGTGATACAGAATGGCAGAATGAATAAGAATTCACCAACCAAGTATTGGCTGTCTTCAAGAGACTCACCTGACACATAAGGACTCACATAAACTTAAAGGGGTGAAAAAAGATATTCCATGTAATGGACATCAAAAGCAAGCAGGGGTAGCTATTCTTATATCAGACAAAACAAACTTTAAAGCAACAGCAGTTAAAAAAGACAGAGGAACATTATATAATGATGAAAGGACTTGTCGGCCAGGCACGGTGGCTCATGCCTGTAATCCCAGCACTTTGGGAAGCCGAGGCGGGAGGATCACGAGGTCAGGAGATCGAGACCATCCTGGCTAACATGGTGAAACCCCATCTCACTAAAAATACAAAAAATTAGCTGGGCATGGTGGCAGGTGCCTGTAGTCCCAGCTACTCGGGACGCTGAGGCAGGAGAATGGTGTGAACCCGGGAGGCGGAGCTTGCAGTGAGCCGAGATCGTGCGACTACACTCCAGCCTGGGCGACAGAGCAAGACTCTGTCTCAAAAAAAAAAAAAAAAAAAAAAAAAGAAAGGACTTGTCCATCAGAAAAATGTCACAATCCTAAATATATATACACCTAACACTGGAGCTCCCAAATTTATAAAACAATCACTACTAGACCTAAGGAATGACATAGACAGCAACACAGTAATAGTGGGGGACTTCAGTACTCCACTGACAGCACTAGACAAGTCATCAAGAGAAGGTCAACAAAGAAACAATGGACATAAACTGTACCCTAGAACAAATGTACTTAACAGATACTTACAGAACATTCTACCTGACAACCGCAGAATAAAAATTATATTAATCAGCACATGGAACATTCTCCGAGATAGACCATATGATAGGCCACAAAACAAGTCTCAACAAATTTAAGAAAATTGAAATTATAGCAAGTACTTTCTCAGATCACAGTGGAATAAAATGAGAAATCAACTCCAAAAGGAACCCTCAAAGCTATGCAAATACATGGAAATTAAATGACCTCCTCCTGAATGATCATTGGCTCAACAATGAAACCAAGAGGAAAATTAGAAAAGTATTTGAACTGAATGATAGTGACACAACATATCAAAACCTCTGGTATACAGCAAAGGTGGTGTTAAGAGAAAAGGTCATAGCATTAAATGCGTACATCAAAAAATCTGAAAGAGCACAAACAGACAATCTAAAGACTAGAGAAAAAAGAACAAACCCAAACTCAGCAGAAGAAAAGAAATAACCAAGATCAGAGGAGAACCAAATGAAATTGAAACAAACAAAAAATACCAAAAATAAATGAAACAAAAAGCGGGTTTCTTGAAAAGATAAATACAATTGATAGACCATTAGCAAGATAAACCAAGAAGCAAGAAGATCCAAATAAACTCAATTAGAAATGAAATGGGAGATATTACAACCGATACCACAGAAATATAAAAGATCATTCAAGGCTACTATGAATACTTTTACATGCATAAACTAAATTTATGGAAATATACAACCCTCCTAGATTAAACCAGGAAGAAATAGAAACTCTGAACAGACCCAATACAAGCAGTGAGATTGAAATGGCAATTAAAAAGTTACCAACACAAAAAAGTCCAGAACCAGATAGATTCACAGATGAATTATATCAGACATTCAAAGAAGAATTGGTACCAATCCTATTGACACTATTCCACAAGATAGAGAAAGAGAGAATCCTCCCTAAATCATTCTATGAAGCCAGTATCATACAAATACCAAAACCAGTAAAAGATATAATAAAAAAAGGAAAGTAAAGACCAATATCCCTGATGAACATAGGATGCAAAAATCCTCTACAAAATACTAGCTAACGAAATCCAACAGCATATCAAAAGGATAATCTACCATGATTAAGTGGGTTTCATACTAGGGATGCTGGGATGGCTTAACATACACAAATCAATAAATGTGATACACCACATAAACAGAATTAAAAAAAAATCACATAGTTATCTCAATAGATGCAGTAAAAGCATTTGACAAAATCCAGCATCACTTCATGATTAAAACCTTTAGCAAAATTGGCATAGAAGGGACATGGCTTAAGGTAATAAAAAGCATCTATGAGAAACCCACAGCCAACATTATACTGAAAAGTTGAACACATTCCCCCTGAGAACTGGAACATGACAAGAATGCCCACTTTCACCACTTTTATTCAACGTAGTACTGGAAGTCCTAGCCAGAGCAATCAGACAAGAGAAGGAAATAAAGGGCATACAAATTGGTAAAGAGGAAGTCAAACTGTCGCTGTTTGCTGATGACATGATTGTATATTTAGAAAGCCCAAAAGACTCATCAAAAAAGTTCCTAGAACTGGTAAATAATTCAGCAAAGTTTCAGGATACAAAATTAATGTACACAAATCAGTAGCTCTGCTATATACCAACAGCAACCAAGCTGAGAATCAAATCAAGAACTTAACCCCTTTTACAATAGCTTCAAAAATAAAATAAAATAAAATAAAATAAAAAATAAAATAAAATAAAATAAAATACTCAGGAATATACTTAACCAAGGAGGTGAAAGACCTCTACAAAGAAAACCACAAAACACTGCTAAAAGAAATCATAGATGATACAAGCAAATGGAAATACATCCTATGCTCATGGATAGGTAGAATTATTATTGTGAAAATGACCATACTGCCAAAAGCGATCTACAAATTCAGTGCAATTTCTATTAAAATACCACCATCATTCTTCACAGAACTAGGAAAAAAAACACTAAAATTCATATGGAATCAAAAAAGAGCCAAAGCAAGACTAAGCAAAAATAACAAATCTGGAGGCATTACATTACCCAACTTCAAACTATACTATAAGGCCATAGTCACCAAAATAGGATGCTACTGGTATAAAAACAGGTATATAGACCAATGGAACAGAATGGAGAACCCAGAAATAAACCTGAATACTTATAGTCAACTGATGTTTGACAAAGCAAACAAAAACAGGAAGTGAGGAAAGGACACCCTATTCAAAAAATGGTGCTGGTATAATTGGCAAGCCACATGTAGAAGAGTGAAACTGGATCCTCATCTTTCACTTTATACAAAAATCAACTGAAGATGAATCAAAGACTTAAATCTAAGACCTGAAACCATAAAAATTCTAGAAGGTAATATTGGAAAAACCCTTCTAGAAATTGGCTTAGGCAAAGACTTCATGACCAAGAACCCCAAAGCAAATGCAACAAAAAGATAAATAGATGGGACTAGATTAAACTAAAGAGCATTGGCACAGCAAAAGAAATAATCAGCAGAGTAAACAGACAACCCACAGAGTGTGGGAAAATCTTCACAATCTATACATCTGACAAATGACTAATATCCAGAATCTACCAGGAACTCAAACAAATCAGCAGGAAAAAAACAATTCCATCAAAAAATGGGCTAAGGACATGAATAGACAATTCTCAAAAGAAGATAGACAAATGGCCAATAAAAGTGAAAAAAAGCTCAACATCTCTAATGATCAGGGAAATGCAAATCAAAACCACAAGGTGATACCCCCTTACTCCTGCAAGAATGTCCATAATCAAAAAATCAAAAAATAATAGGTGTTGGCATGGATGTGGTGAAATGGAAACACTTTTACACTCTTGGTGGGAATGTAAACTAGTACAACCACTATGGAAAACAGTGTGGAGAGTCCTTAAGGAACTAAAAATAGATCTACCATTTGATCCAGGAATCCCACCCCTGGGCATCTACCCAGCAGAAAAGAAGTCATTTAATGCAAGTGTGTATATACACACACCATGGAATACTACTCAGCCATAAAAAGGAATGAAATAATGGCATTTGCAGCAACCTGGATGGAATTGGAGCCCATTATTCTAAGTGAAGTAACTGGGGAATGGAAAACCAAATATTGTAATTTTCACTTATTAGTGGGATCTAAGCTATGAGGACTCAAAGGCATAAAATGATACAATGGACTTTGGGGACTTGGGGGAAAGGGTGGGAGGGGGTGAGGGATAAAAGACTACACATTACAGTGTACACTGCTTGGGTGATGGGTGCACTAAAATCTCAGAAATCACCGCTTAAGAACTTATTCACATAAACAAACACCACCTGTTCCCCAAAACCTACTGAAAAAAAAAAAAAACACCCAAATCAGTAAAGCCAGGCATGGTGGTGCATGCCTGTATTCTCAGCTACTTGGGAAGATTGCTTGAGCCCAGGAGTTTGCGTCCGGGCAACATAGCAAGACTCTGTCTCTAAACACACACACACACACACACACACACACACACACACACACACACACACCCTAAACTAATAGGATAAGTTTTTAAAAATTCATTTGTCAAAATTGTTTTCCATTAACTTAAAGAGTATAATTGGATTGTTTGTAACTCAAAAGATAAATGCTTGAGGGGATGGACACCCCATGCTCCTTTTTTTCTGGCTGATGTGCTTATTTCCCATTGTGTACCAAAACATCTCATGTACCCCATAAATATATATATTTACTATGTACCCATAAAAATTAAAAACGAAAACAACAAATTGTATTCAAAATCTAAAAATAAATAAATAAATACTAAGCAAATGAAAGCTCAAAAGAAAAAACCCACCATGTTGTTAAAGGGTTAACTGGAGACTACTGCAGGAAATTCATATTCCAAAAATATTGAACATTAGTTTTGACTTATTTCTTGAGCTAAGGTTTTCTCATATAATTACTTTCCAAAACTACATTGTCTTAATTTTAAAATATGCACAAGTGACATTTATTAGTCACATAACTTACTTTCACTATGTCTGAAAATTTAAATCTCACCAAGATAAACACTGTTAAATATTGGTGGCTGAAATTACAATACTATCTTTCAACAGTGGAGGCAGCAAGCAGAGTGAATAATAATTTTATTTTCTGTAAATTCACTATTGTCACTGTATATATTAGGAAAGTGCATCATTGAGCTTAGCATACTAAAGAGAAGAGATTCACTATGTAAGCGGCGGCAAAACACAGGAAGCACTGTGCTAGTTCTTTCTACCCTGCAACTGTTATATATGTATATATTTAAAGCTGTGCCTGCATGGGTGGATTAACACCTGGCTATTTCTACTGCCATTAAATTAAATGAATCATTATTCTGCCACCTAATACATCAGAGGTAGACACTTTTATGGTTGGCAGAAACCCTTGTATTTGAAAATTTCCAGTAATTGCTGAATATTCCTGAAAACTTTCAGCTTCAACGGTGTTTTCCAAAACCATGCAGTTTGCTTTCCAAGTTTTAAATAAGGTATATACAGTATGATCGTTTGCTCTCTCTTCTCCTTTGCAAACAGCAGTACGTTCTCTTCTCCTTGGCAATATGCCACTGTAGCATAGATCGTAGAGCAGAAAGCCTGGTGTCTTCCGTAGCACTAAAGTTTCTAATGAGAACATGGTTATTTGTTTGGTTGCTATCTCATTGTCATGATTCCTCTTAAACAACTACAGCAAAAGTGATAATACAGCTTAAAAATGTCTCCAGTTTAGGCCCAAACCTACTTAAAAAGAGGCAAAATGTATATTAATATCAGTATTTCCTTTCCCACTCTATTATGTAGTGGGCCTCTCCAATTTAATTTTCGATTTCTCTCCTTCCTTGCCCACACCCTTATCCAAATCCTTGGTGTCCAGCGCCTTCCAGGCTAGTTTGTCCCTCCCTCCCTCCTTCCCTCCCTCCCTCCCTCCCTCCCTTCCTTCCTTCCTTCTGTCTGTCTTTTTTTTTTTTTTTTTTTTTCTGAGAGGGAGTCTTGCTCTGTCACCCAGGCTGGAGAGCAGTGGCACGAACTTGGCTCACTGCAAGCTCCGCCTCCCGGGTTCAAGCCATTCTCCTGTCTCAGCCTCCGAAGTAGATGGGACTACAGGCGCCCGCCACCACACCCGGCTAATTTTTTGTTTTTGTATTTTTTAGTAGAGATGGGGTTTCACCGTGTTAGCCAGGATGGTCTTGATCTCCTGACCTCGTGATCCACCCGCCTCGGCCTCCCAAAGTGTTGGGATTACAGGCGTGAGCCACCGCGGCCCGCCCTGTCTTTCTTGTCTTTCTTTCCTTTCTTTCTCCCCTCCCTTCCCCTCCCCTGCCCTCCCCCTCCTCTACTCTCCTCTCCTTCCAATCGCTTTCTGTCTCTTCTTCCTTCCCCACTCTTTCTTTTTCTCTCCTTCCTTTTTGCCTTCCTTCTTCCCCCTCACCCTCCCTTTCTCCTTCCCCTTCTCTTTCTTCTCACTCTCTCTTTCTCCTCAGTGTTGTGGCTTCTTCTTTGATATTTCTTTCATCTCTCCTTAATCATTTTTTGATTCTCAGTATCATTCCGCTTTATGAAGCCTTTCTTTTACTCCCGGGCTTTATCTTCTATGTTTCCATCCAACTTGGTTCATTGCTCTGTAAAAACATTTTTTGTGTATTGTGGTGATTCAACTGCACACACACACACACACACATATATAAACATGCACATATATATTATATATTATATGTATATTATATATTATACATATATACATATATTATACATACATACATATTTATTTATTTCTTCTCCCCAAGCCTATAAACTCTTTGTGGGGAGAACTTTTCAATAATTCTCTTTTGCATTTCCATCAGTTATCACAGTGGCATGCCAAAATTATTGAATAAATTAATGAATAACTCAAAAGCACAGCTCTAGTACTTAGACCTGGGCTGAAATCTCAACTCTACAATTTAATTTCTGTGTAACCTTACACAATCTACATAACCTTTCTGAAGCTCCTTTTATTTTGTCACTTATAAAGTGAAGACTTTATAATCTTCCCCACAGAGTTATTATGCAGCTTGATGAGATTACATATATAAAGTCCTTAATGCATAACTTATTTTTCTTCTAGATAAAGTAGTTCCATTCCCAAGATTTACAAAATATGTGCTCAATTTTATAAAAATAATCAAATACAGCAAATCAGATCATGGGATGAGAAAGGATAACAAAGTTTTCCTGGAATTGGATCTTTTCTACTGTGAATTTATAAAGCGAATCATCCACATGTTGCTTGAAAATTGACCATTCAAGAGAAGAGATAGGAATCAAAACTTCTGGACAGATTTTCCCTAATTTTATCTTTTGTAGGGAATGGGTAGTAATTTTTCCCTTTGTTGTTATGTGACACATTACAACTTTGCTCATAGTGTTTGCATATGGAATGTATCTATAGCAATGTTTCCTTATCCATGTGCTGTGGTTGGATGCCTGGTTTATCACTTTTTTCATTCAATTTTTTACTGCAACTAGTTATAATTTTTTTGGTTGCAAGTGACAGAAAACATAATTCCAATAGTTTAAGCAATCGAGAGAACAATAAGTCACTCTAACAATATCTAGATGCCAAGGATGTGAAGCTACATCTATTGATCCATTAGGTTCATCTTTTTAGACAACTAAATGGCTGCTTTAATTCTAGACTTCATAATCCATCAACCAGAAGAGAGAGAGAAAGCTTCTCCTTCCCAAGAATGTTCAATAAAATCTTTGCACTTTTCTTTAGTTTGAAGTGGTGTGCTCATCTTTAAACCAAACATGGTTGACAAAGTGGATAGGAAATGCTGATTGACTTTGGTCCAAATAGACACCCTCTCCTGGTGTAGCCAGGATAAGGCAATCTATGCCATTTGGCTGAAATTGGGAGATGGATGTTGCCAAAAGAACTTTGGGTACAGTTGAGAAAGGACAAGAGCTAACAGGGAAACACATTTCAAAGAAGGAGCAAACAATCATCCACTATACATCTGTTGACTGTCTACTCTATACCTGGCACTGTGATGATAAATGTTGCTTTTTTTGGTCGGTGGGGGGGAGGTGGACAGAGTCTCACTCTGTCACCCAGGCTGAAGTGCAGTAGCATGATCTCGGCTCACTGCAACCTCCGCCCCACAGGGTTCAAGCAATTCTCTGCCTCAGCCTCCCGAGTAGCTGGGATTACAGGCACACCTGCCACAATGCGTGGCTAATTTTTGTATTTTTAGTAGAGACAGGGTTTCACCATCTTGGCCAGGCTGGTCTTGAACTCCTGACCTTGTGATCCACCCACCTCGGCCTCCCAAAGTGCTGGGATTACAAGCCTGAGCCACCGCGCCTGGCCACTATTTTTTTTTTTTTTTGGATGCTCTGCTATTTTGTGTGTGTGTGTGTGTGTGTGTGTGTGTGTGTGTGTGTGTGTGTGTGACAGCTCTGCTAGCTCTCTTCTAGTTTTTCAAGTAGAATCTTAGACAAAAGAGAATGCAGAGGGTGTGTGAGGAGGTTTTTTTGTTTTTTCATGTCTGCTAAGGAGGATATGTTGCTAGCATTATCCTGAATATTGCTGAGAAGAAATGAGCTTGCTTTCAATTTAAAATAGTCTTTTTTTCCATTTAATTTTTGTGACCATGGGCAGCTACTTTGTGTTGGATTTTTGGTCAATGAAGTCCCTTGGAAAGCACCCTTTTCTCCAGTTAGGAGGTGCTTTCTGTTTCCTCACATACAGAATATAGTTTAAAACAGAATGGATTTTGAGCATTCCTGAACAAAGTGAGTGGATTTTACAAACATGAGATATAGAAAAATATTCTTTAAATCTTGTGGGTGGTTCAGCACTTTAACCCTGATTTTATTCAAGCCTAATTAACCTTTTTACATTTTATTTTATTATTTATTTTAGAGACAGGGTCTTGCTCTTTCAACCAGGCCAGAGTGCAGTGGTACCATCATAACTCACTGCAGCCTCCTGATTCACCTTGTTACACATACGACAAGGTTATGTGAAGAGTTACTGATAGATTACTAAGCTCTATTATGTTAATAAATATGAAATCATTCCCTAGAAATTTCATTCTAAGTGCTCCTTTTCTAAATTGCCTAGTTACCTGAATGAAAAAAATTCATTTCGTCACTGCACTTTGCTCAATTTTTTCCTATCTTGAATGTAAATCATAAAAATGAAATTGTCATATTGCACCTAATCATTTTACAAGATGACAGTAATTGTCTTTATTTATATGCTTTTTTAATTAATTGTAAGTTACTTTTGAATATCTCTGATTTTACAAAGAAAATTTAAGAGACATCAGTAGTAAATCACAAAATAAATAGGAATATTATCACTGAAGATCTAAGTATGTGGATATTTGTTATAATTTGAATTGTGTCCTCCACGAAATTTGCATGTTGAAACAGGGCCTTTAAGGAGGTAATTAACTTAAAATGACATTCTCAGTGTGTGCCCTGTATTAGTTTGTTTTCACACCGCTGACAAAGACATACCAAAGACTGGGCAATTTACAAAAGAAAGAGGTTTAATTGGACTTACAGTTCCATGTGGTTGGGGAAGCCTCACAATCATGGTGGAAGGCAAGGAGGAGCAAGTCACATTTTACATGGATGGCAGCAGGCGAAGAGAGAGCTTGTGCAGGGAGACTCCTGTTTTTCAAAACCATCAGATTTCGTGAGACTTATTCACTGTCATGAGAACAGCATGAGAAAGACCTGCCCCATGATTCAATTACCTCCCATCAGGTCCCTCCCAAAATACATGGGAATTCAAGATGAGATTTGGGTGGGGACACAGCCAAACCATATCAGGCTCTAATCCTGTCTGACTGATGCCCTCCTAAAAAGAGGAGATTAGGACATAGACATGTATAGAGTAAAGGCCATGAGAAGCCACAAGACAAAGTGGCCATCTGCAAGACAAGGACAGAGGGCTCGGAAGAAACAAACCCTGCTGAGACCTTGATCTTGGACTTCCAGCTTCCAGCTATGAGGGAATACATTTTTGTTGTTTAAGCCACCCAGTCTGTGGTATTTTGCTATGGCAGCTCAGCAAACGAATACAATCTTCTATAACTGTGTTTAAAGCCAGGTTATTTCCTTGTGAGTTTATAGAGGCCTAGGACTAAGATTGGATTCATCTATGCTTCCTCATCATCTAAGCAGAGCCTGGCCCAGAGTAGGTGTATGGGAAATGTTTGTTGAATTTAACTGAATAAACACAAACTGTGTTTTGATCACGGCAGTGGCAGAGCAGCTGGCTGCCAGCCTGGCTCTTTCCGGCTACCACCTAAAGTTTCTAGACTGTTGTTTGTCTAGTTCTTCCTAAGTGAAAATGGCTTTTTTCTTTTTTTTTTGGCTCATTCTGATTATAAAAGCAGAGGTAAAAGCATACATGCATAGAAATGTGTGCTCATTGTAAAAATTATCTGGTAACGCATTAAAGTGTGAACAAGAAAGTAAAACTCACCCAGAAGTTCCCCACCCAAAGCAACAATGATTCAAATTTTGGTGTATACATTTTGCTCAGGGAAAAATATACCTAAGGGAAGCATATTTGGGGACCATATCAATATGGTTATCAATTTCTCTCTAATGAAAAAAGGCATGATTTATACAGCATATGTTGTTTTTATAATATGATTTTTCCCCCTGCATAATATATTGTGGATATCTTTTCATAATAGAAAATAAAATAAATGTAGATATATAGTAGCAATTCCAAGGTGGCTGAACTAGATTTCATTTAAGGAATGTGCAATATTTAGCCTATGAGTAGAGGCTATTTAGCCTATGAGTAGAGACTATTTAGTCTAGTCTGTACTAATGGATAGTTGGGTTGCTCCTCATGTTTTCCTAATATAAATAGTGCTGTGAGCATTTGGACTCTTTGTTGTAGCTCTTGTCTCATTATTATCTCTTTCTACTTCTAATCTCTTTACTGAAGACAAGACAGCTATTAAACAGCACATTTTAACATATTTGGGAAATTGTAGAAAAGGTAATGTGGACATGGAGGTAATGCAGATGCCCAAAGACGAAATCCTTGCAGAGTTCTGTTGGTTGGGACATCTTCTGCTCCCGGGATCCACAACCTTTCCTGTGAGCTCCAGACTCAACCATCAAATTGCCTGCTTGATGCCTCTACTTGGCATATCAAATTCAAAATGTCCAAAACGCAGCTCTCTTTTGAAACACATCTTTTGCCAACTGGTCTTCCCCATCTCAGTCAACAGCACCACTGTTCTTCCAGTTGCTGCAGGCAAGAAGGGAAGAGCTATCCCTGCCTCCTCCCATATCCTCACTTTCTACACCCATTCCATCGGTGAGTCCATGCTGATTTTATCTTCAAAATGTATCTCTGACCTGCCATCTTCTATCTGTTTCCACTGTCTGTTTTGTTCCTTGCCTATAGGATGGTAACAGCCTTCTCACTTTCTCCCACTCTTTCCTCTGGACTTCTGCCACACAGCTGCAGAGGTGATCATGTCATACAAAGATGGACTGATACTGTTATAACAAAATTTCTTTCATTCATATCTTGTTATTTATGTGAACAAGGTTTCTTGGCACTTGAAGCTACAAAAATGAAAAGTTAATGCATTGCTAATAATAAAATTTACTCTTTATGTTTAATAATAATACCCATTTGTAATGTAATTGTTTGGATCAATTGCTTACTAATAAAGAAGACGATGAGGCCCCCCATTAATGATCATGCCTATAGGCTACCTTAAAATATCTCAGTGGTTCCCCTTTTACTTTGACTTCAAGGGAAAGTTTTAATTCCTTGCTTTGGTCTACAAACCCTGAATGCTATGGCATTTATTTGCCTCCCAGCATCTCTTTGCAGCTCTCTCTGTCTTACTCCCTCTGCTCCAGTGCCCCTTTCTTACAGTTTCTTGAACATCCCCAACTTTTTTCCACCTAAGGTCAGTTACACAGTCATGCTGCTTCCTCTGCCTGGCCTGCCATTCCTTCTATTTCTTTTGGGCTTAACTTCTTTCCTTCCCCTAGTTTGCAACGTAAATGTGCTGTATACAGAGAGATTTTCACTGAACATTTAAAGTATAGTTGACCCTTGAACAGCATGGGGGTTAGTGGTGCTGACACCTGTATAACTTTTGAACCCCCAATAATTTAATTACCAACAGTCTACTGTTGACTGGAAGCCATACAGATAACATAGGCAGTTGATTAACACATATTTTGTATGTTGTATGCATTATATACTGTATTCTTACACTAAAGAAAATGTGATAAAGAAAAATCATAAGGTAAGAAAAAAATACATTGACAGTACTGTACTGTATTTATCAATGACATAAGTTTAAGCCATCTGTTTACAAGAGGAATGGCTATCTGAAATGGTGGGTTATCGCAGCTGCAGACCTCAATCTACAGTATATATCAAGCAATTTGACTTTTTCTTGTAATATCATGACTTTTCTCTGCTTATTGGGAGCACTTCCAGCACCACTAGTGGCACTTTGTGTGGGTTTTCTTGTTATCAAGGTTTATGGTATTGAATCAAATATGATGAAAGATATGTGAGAACCATGAGATCACTTTTCACTGAGATCTGCAATTTACTGGAGAGAGGAACTGCTTACGTGGAGATGATTAGCGTCACATGGCATTTTAAATAGCAACAGGAGGTGGCTAAGAAATGATTACAGTCATCAGTATGTACTACAGTTAATTTTATGCAGTTATGATTTAATATTGCATCTTTACATTTGTTTACATTTCTCTTGACTGTGAATGGCACCATGTAAGGCCTGTAAGTGTTTGCGTGTGTAAATTTTGATAAATTTTAACTTCTTATGGTAGATTTATGTATATTTTATGGTGGTAAATGATAAAATAGGCTAGCATCTCCATATATTTTATGCATTTATGACATATGTAACTTTTCTTGGTTTTGATATTTCTAGGCTATGTGGTTCATTTGAAAGATTTTTTTTTGAAATGTGAATCTTCAAAACATTTTCCAAGACATCTATTGAAAAAAATCTGTGTACAAGTGGATCCCTACAGTTCAAATCCATGATGATTAAGGATCACCTGTATGTACCCATCTACCCACTTACTTTTTTCTTTTATTTCTGCCTCTTGTTTTTTCCTTTATTAGAACTTTTTTGACTTGCAAATATTTTACTTATTTGTTGGTTTCTTGTTCTTTGTCTGTCTCCTCTACTAGAAGGTAGGCTCCATGAGGGCAGGGCTGTGTCTGTCTTATTCACCAATGCATCCCTGGACTGCAGCACAGAACCAGGCACAGAGTAGGCTCTCAACAAATAATCTGATGATTTTGTTGTTTCTGTGGCTTTCTTGCACAGCCATGCTTGGATCCCAGTGCTGAAGACCTTTAAACCTGCAGGCTTAACCCACTCAGAGGCTGAGGCATCTTAGTACCTAAGTATGTATGTCCCTGCCAGGTGTGGTCTTGCGTTAAGCCTAAGGTCCAGTTACTCTGGGATGAGTTGCTAAGGGGCTTGCAACCTACTGAACTGTAACTTTCATCCCAAGACCCTGCCCCTTTCTCTCGCATCTCCCCCTTCTGTGACCTTCTGTTCCATATGATGGGGCCTCTGCCCCTAGTTTAGGTTTGAACTCAAGTTGGAGGCTAGGACTTGTGGTTTCGTGACTACAGCCATACCAGCCCCTCTTGCTGAAGCCTGATTTGTTCCTGATTCCATCCCTAGCCATTGGCTGAGATGTTGCCTTTAATCAGACAGATTGTTCTCCTCTATTTAGCTTTCCACCCTTCCCTACCTGTTCCACCCACCTGGCTGAAAATATTGCCACCTTCTAAGCTTTTTGCCATGCTCCACCTCCGGGTATGAGTGACAGCCGACATTATAGTCAAGTTCACCACTATCTCTTTGGATGTTGGGATTTGGATGCTTGCTGTCCAGTTTCACTGGGCTGGCCTATAGGAAGAGGGCTTTGGAGCTAAACAGGCCTGAATTTGAATTTTGGTTCTGCCACTTATCAGCTGTGTGACCTTGGGCAAGTTATGGACTTCTTTGAGTCTTGGCTTTCTCATCTGTAATGCGATGGCAAATAATACCTGTCTTGAAAAGTGAGTCTTGGTGATTGCCTTTGACCCATACCTAAAGCAGAGCCTAGCACAGAGCTGTCACTCAAGCCTCCCACCTGCCAGCTCCAGCCCTATTCCTAGTTTCTTTCTCCTATCTCATCCGCCAATGGTGCAGGTTCTGGCCTGTGTCTATAGAGTCCTCTGGACTATTTTAGACTGTTCTTTCTCTCTTGATGTGAGCTGAGCTGTCTCCTTTCACTTCTTAAGTTTTTGTTTTCTTTTTGGTCCATACATATCCTTTAAACCAAAACTCTTTTAACTGCTTCTGGTTTACACATCTGAGCCACTTTGATCTATTTCTTTCTGGCATAAGAGCCATTTGTTCACTTTTGGAAGTAAGTGAGATGCATGCCATGGTTTTTTTTTTTTTTTTTTTTTCTTTTTTTCCCCAAAGAACCCTATAGTCATAACCAGAGAAGATGCTGACCTGATTTCTCCAAAGATGGTATAGAGGGTGAACAGCATTCATTAAATTCACATGCAGAGGATGTTCTTACAATAGAGGACTTTTTTGACCAATTTTAAAGCTGTATGTAACAGTGCTTTATACTACAAATAGAATGCAACAGAATGGCCCTTTGTGATAAGAATCTTATTTGCAACGACTGTTTAAATGCCCTATTTATTTGTTTTCAAGGTTACAATTAGAACTACATGACCACACAACTTTTCTGGAAGGCATAAAACTGCTGTTGGAGCCCAGCCCCTCCAACACTTTGGCATGCACAATTTGAAGAATGCCTGGGATCCCATATGTTTCTTCATTCCTCCTAGACAGCGTTGACATTTGGGGATTTATTCTTAGAGTTTGCTTCTTTGAACATGTTTGGTTCAATTAGTCTACTGAAGCTGAGGTAGCATAAGCTGTTTTTTTAAGAAGTGGTAGCATATTCAGGACAGGATGTTTGTGACACAACAGATGGGCTTGTGATCAGGCTAGATTGCCACTTATCAAATATAGAGTAAACTGAAGCAGATCCACAGCACCTAGCCCAGTTCCTTGAACAGATTAGGGACTTAGGAAGTGCTAGTTAAGAGAAAGAAGCAATGCATGAACAGCTAATGGTCAGAACCCTATAGAGGCCTTGGAGAAAGGAGAACATTTAAATGAGTTGGGGATTTTTAAATCTTAAAATGTCACATGTACTACTAAATAAGTACATTGTTGCTAATTTTCTTTCTAGAGATTAAATAGTTAGAGATCCATCCTGGCCAACATGGTGAAACCCCGTCTCTACTGAAAATCCAAAAAAAAAAAAAAAAACCAATTAGCCGGGCGTGGTGATGCATGCCTGTAGTCCCAGCTACTCGGGAGGCTGAGGCAGGAGAATTGTTGGAACCCAGGAGGCAGAGGTTGCAGTGAGCCGAGATCGTGCCACTGCACTCCAGCCTGGGCGACAGAGCGAGACTCTGTCTCAAAAAAAAAAAGGTTAGAGATCATAGTGGCTACCACTTATTGAGGACCTACTATAATGAGTGTGTATTGTTTTTGTTTGCTCTGCAACATTATTCCTTCTAGAGAACTGTGTCTATCTCCATAGTTAGTGAGACTACCAAATGCTGCATTGCTCAGCAGCCAGGATAGAGCATATGCCAGGCTTGGTCAGTTACAGTAATACAGCCCCTCCGCACCCATTCTTGGTGCAGATACTAGCATGTAGACATGTGATCCTGGTAGGGCAAATCAAGGGCTTCCTCTGGACTGATATTTGGATGTTAGGGAGAGAGAAATTTATCTTTGCACTGGGATTGCTAAACTTTGAAGTGGCAAATTGCACAGTGACGTGAGGGTAAAGGTTTAACAGGTGGCTCTCAAGAGAAAAACATGCATGTATATATATATATGTACGCATATATATATACATACACACACATATATACATATTTAAATTTATTATAAATTCTACTGATAAAAGGATATGTAGCACATAATTTTCAAATACTATTAAAATAGTCATCTCTCTTTTTGCAAATTCCATGTGACCTACTCATTCTCACAGGATACTTTCACCGGTTTTTGCCTCACTCTTGCATCTGTAGCCAACCTATGGTTACAATTGATGATAAGGTAGTTCCAACAGGAACATTGGTTGGTATTTTCCTTTATCTTAATGATGAAAATGGAACAATGAAGATATATTCTAAAAATTTATACATTTGTCAATGTTGTGTGTGACTTCTTTGTTAAATTTGATAGTTAAAAAATCTTTTTTAAAATGACAGCTAACATTGTATATTTTTGTGGTGTACAACATGTTTTGAAGTACATATACATTGTGGGATGATTAAATCTGGCTAATTAACAAGTGCATTACCTCACATAGTTGTCATTTCTGTGGTAAGAACACTTAACATCCATTCACTTTACATTTTTCAAGACTACAATATATCACCATTAACTATAGTCACATTGCTGTACAATGAGATCCCTTGAAGTTTATTTCTCTTATCTAATTGTAATTATGTGTCATTTGATAGTAGTTTTTTAATATTAGAAGAATATTTCCTAAAATTTTTATTTTTCACAATGTTGCTATGGTTTAAATATTTGTGTCTCCAAATTTACATCTGAGGTTTGTGTTATTTTCCTTGGAGATCCACAGCTCTCCCTGCATTGTGGCAGGAGAAGGTCCTCCTTACTCTTCTTCTCCAACTTGTCTTCCTTCCCTTAGCACAGGGGAATTTTTTTCTCATTTAGGGTGGATGTGGAGCATATGAGACAGCTGGTTCTTAGATATTTTCAAAATCTTTTGGGTGACAGTGTAGTGCAATGGTGAAATAGATGGCTAAGCATTTGGGCTTTGAAGACAGAGTACCTGAGGACATAATCCTGACTCCATCACATACTACCTTTGTGACCTTGTGCCAGTTACTGAACTTCTCTGTTTCTCAGTTTCTTTTTGGTTCAATGAGGATAATGTAAATACCTACTATGGTGCCTGGTGTATAGATGCATAATAAATATTTGTTGAATTGAATTAAATTCAATTTTGCTCTATTAAAATTAAATGAGATTAAATGAGACCATTCGTGTAAAGTATTTAGAACAGTGACTAACACCGGGTAAGAATGTATAGAGCCTTTATTATAACACTTTTCTCATTGTATTTCTGTTCTAATGCTTAGACTTGAAATTCAAAAGCCAGGAAGAGGTGAGCTGTGGTGAGGAATGATGATACAATGAAAGCAAGAGGGTGACAGTAAATATGGGGCTTGGGAATAATTTAATATTTCAAAAATATCAGCTTCTTGTATATAGGGGTCTCTTAAGTAGTTTTTTCAATCCTGGACTTTTCTCTCCCTAAAGCATCTTCAATCAGAAACTGATTTTTTCTCCTCAAATACCATGTCACATATTTACTCAAAATATGTCTTTCATTGCCTACAGAATAAAGTCCAAACCCCTTAAGTTGGCCTGATGAGCCCCTAACTGCCTCCAATTCTATCTTCCATTTAAAGGTTCATTTTGTCTACTGTTAGTCACATATCACAAGCTTTCTTATCATTATGATTTTCCTTTTTTCTAGTTCTGTCAGCTAGAAAGCTCCCTCCTTCTTCCCACCAAGCACACCCATTAAGGGAAAAAATAGAGGCTGAAATCCAGCCCACAAATATCTCATCAATCGGTGTGCTGTGACTTGGCCCTATGACTGGCCAGAAGGGACTTCTTTTCCTAATTCTCACGAAGATGCCAAAAGCACTAGTGGCAGTTCTGGTGAAGAGATACATAAGATTTCAACTGTATTTGCAATCTTTTCTTTTTTATTATTATTATTTTTGTCTTAACAACATTGAGATGCAAAGAGTGAGGTACAATGTTGCAACAGAGGAAGCATAGAGTGGTATTAGAAGAACTTACAGGAAGGAAGGGCTGTTTACCAGGTCATGGAGAGTCAAAGAAGGCCTCTTGAAGGCAATGACATCTCATATAGTGTCTGAAGTAAGGTGGCTAGTGGCTAGTGATGCAGGACATTGGTGGAGGAAGAAAGAGACAGCATAGTAAGCACAAGGAATACAAAGGGACATAGGGAGGGAGGAAGTATGAAGGTGGAGGGTTGGAATGGGGAATGATGAGAGTTGATCCTGGATAGATAAGCAGGAGTCAGATAGGGAAGGATATAAAAAGGCCAGGTAAGGGCTTTGAGCTTTCACCTGGGGGCAAAGAGACTTAGAAGTGTTTACACAGGGAAATGACATAACAGATTTATGCATTAGAAAGATCACTTTAGCTATAGTGCAGGGGGAAAAATGAACTGTGGTGGAGCTTGGAGAAGAAAATAGAGAGGACTATGTATGGCCGGAAAACACAGGAAGAAGGGAGACCAGTTGGAAGGCTGATGTGGAAATCCAAGTAAAAAATGACGGGGCCTGACCTGGAGCAGAGCCAACAGAGAGAGTGAGAGGTGGATAGTTTAAAGAGATATCTGGGAGGTTGAATGAATAGGACTGGATGTGGAGTCGGGGGTAGAGAAGTGTTGATGTTACTAACTTGGATAACTGGGTGGATAGAGGTAGCTCCTGAGATAAGAAACACTGGAGGGGGAGAGAGTTTGGGCAGGCTGCAAGATGATTCATTTGTTTTGAATATGTTAGAGATTCCCGTGGAATTGCCAGTCAGTCCATGGGTATGGGTATCTACAGTTGCAGGAAAAAGATCTGTGTTTTGGAATTCAGATATTTGTGGATTTCTATGTATTTGTATCTGTCTCACTGGGGTTAGGGGCAGCAATCTCTGTTTTCAAACACATGAATATCTGTGCAGCAAGACATGGTCAATATCCACAGCAGATGGGATAAAAAAAAGAGTACAAATAGCCACCTAACAGTTCAGGTCAGGTTTTATTGGCAAATGAGTTTGTAAAAAATTTATGAAAAAAACCCGTAGGATATCAGAGTTTTCTATTTCAGAAAGCTGGATGCAAGATTCTCCACCTGTACTATCTCATTTAATTCTTACATCAACCATATGTGGTAGGCATTATTAATTTTTTTTACAGAAAAAAAACCCTGAGGCACAGATAGGTTAATGAAAATGCATGCTGAGATTACAGCATCAGTATTCAAAACAAGTCAGTCTAAGGTAGGAGAATGTTTCAAGAAGAAAGGATTAGTAATAGGCTCAAACGTCATAGGTGGGTAAAGTAGATTAGCAATGAAATTGCCTCACTGGATTTCGCAATTTAAAAATTACCTTTGGGGAGGCAACTTCAGGAAAACAGTTGAAAGGAGGCCAATTTGTTGGGGGTTAAGGAGTGAATAGGAGGCAAGAAAGTGGAGACACCTATCACAGACTTCTCAGAAGATTGACCATGAAGAGATAGGAGAGACAGAGCCAAATCTTGAGGGAAATAACAAGTTAAGAAAGCATTTTTAAAGCATGTTAAATGTCAAAGTGAGAAATGAGGGGACAGTCAGCAAAATGAGGTCTCCAGAGGCCCAAATGAATAGGATCCAGATCAGTGATGGAGGGATGGTGAGAGAAATTGCTTTCTATTTGTTTGGAAGAAAGAAGAAAAGGAAGAGAGAGCAATGGCAGGAAGTCTAAGAATTGACATCATGACCTGTTTTCTACGAGTGATCTTCTGAGACTGGGAGGTGAAAAAGTGATGACTGAGGTGTGAAAAGAGACAAGATGCTTTGAGAAAGCTACAGCAGATAATGGAAAATGCAGCTGATCAGGATGTACAGAAGGATTGGGCTGTATTGAGAAGGTCAAGTTGAGTTAGGAGGCCTTCAATTTATGGTGCATTAGTCTGGGAGGTTTTGTGGTTCTCTTCTGGGCTGCTCAGCAGATACAAGTACACAGAAACTCACAGCTGCATGTAATAGAGCCTTTGTGGGAGAGGTGAAACTGAAGGTATGATCCTTGGGAGCTGAGGATTTTCATACAGTATTGAAACCCCAGAGATTCCCATAGGATGCAGCCTTGTTCTAGGTCAGTGGTTCTAAACCTTGATACATATAGAAATCACGGCCGCGTGCAGTGGCTCATGCCTGTAATGCCAGCACTTTGGGAGGCCGAGGCGGGCTGATCATGAGGTCAAGAGATCAAGACCATCCTGGCCAACATGGTGAAACCCCAATTGTACTAAAAATACAAAAATTAGCTGGGTTTGGTGGTGGGCACCTATAGTCCCAGCTACTTGGGAGGCTGAGGCAGGAGAATTGCTTGAACCCAAGAGGCGGAAGTTGCAGTGAGCCGAGATTGCACCACTGCACTCCAGCCTGGTGACAGAACAAGACTCCATTTAAAAAAAAAAAAAGAAGAAGAAAAAAAGAAATCACCTGGGGAACTTTAAAAAAAAATAGTAATGCCTGTGTCTCATCCTTTGGAATTTTGATTTACTTGGTCTGGGCTGTGGCTTTGGGATTCTTACAAAGTCTCCAGGTGACTGTAATGTGCAGTCAGGATGGAGAATTATTGTTCCTCTGATCTCCTGTTCCCAAAGCAAGTTAATAACCTGTACCAGCCAGGATAGATAGACTAGGTTATGGCACAGTAACAAATAGTGCTGGATTGTCAGTATCTTGACACAACAAAGGTTTATTTCCTGCTTATATAATGTCTACTGAGGTCTAGGTAACACTTTTGGGCAGGTGTTCTCCTTGTATTTCTTGGCATTCCCTAGTCACTGAGGCAGGGGAAGAGGAAGATGAGAAAATAAGTCCTGGTTCTTAGATGCTCACTTGGAAGTAACACCCTTTCCCTCCATTCCTATTTCATTGACCAGCATTAGTTGCATAGCCACACTGATTTCAAGGAGCAGGAAAAGGCAACTGGATATTGGTGAACCTTAGTAGTGACCACTATCTAGAGCCTTCACTGTAAATGAAAGTTGAAGGGGAGGAAAAGGCTCATGTATTTACTTTCAAACACTTACATAGTGCTTATTACCTGTCAGATATTGTCTGCATTGCTTTCAAGTAGGAACTAACTTAATCTCCATATCAGCACTATTAAATAGGTAATTATTATCCCCATTTTATAGAAAGGGATGTTGTGCTTAAATAACCTGCCCTGGGTCATATAGCTAGTAAGTGGGAGAGGCAAGATTAAATTCTAGGTAGTCTGGGTCCACAGTCCAAGCACTAGGTCTCTCTAGTCTGCTTTCTCTCAACTTCGATCCTGAGTTGGGGGGAGCAGAAAGGAGGAAAGGTAGAAGATATGGGTGTAAATGTGAGATTTGGTGCATGCAAAGAAATTTAGTGATGTTTGTATGCTTCACTGCTAGAGCTGGGATAGGGCTTTGTGGAAAGGCACGCAGTGAAGTTTAGGGAGTTAAAAATGGAATGGAGTGATGCTGCTGCTAGTGAGGCCAACCTTGGAGGCCATGATAGGGAATCACTTTTGCCCCTTTCCTTTTTTCCTTCTTCCCATCCCTCCATCAGAGCCACCCATTTAGCATCTACATACAGGTTGTAACTTGGAGCTGTACTGAGGTTTGCTCAGAAACAGAAAGCAGGAAACAGGATAAAAATTTCCCGAGAAAGTAGTGCTTGGATCATTTGCACAAAAGGGATCAAAGAGTAAGTCCAACTGTACCTATTTGTAATGCATTTTTGAAAATTTACATATAATTACAGCTACTGTCAAGTAAACTATATTAGAAAATCTTCAGAGGAGGGGTATTTGATAAAAGAGTCCTTCAGTGAATCAGTAGTAATTCCAAATCATCACTTCCTACATCAGTTTTCTAAGCCTTCTCGTTTATATTGGTTTCGGTTAGACTAGAACACACCTGCAGTTCACTCAGCCAGCTTCCATTCTGCTGTGATTTAGGAGTCAGTGAACACTTCTGGGGATTGGAATTCTTGGTTATCACAGACAAGGTCTAATTACCATACCTGGAGGGACAGAAGAAAAGAACAAATGATTCTGTTTTAAAATGGACTTTTGACAATATAACAAAACGAAGCTTTGTCTTTGTGTGACATTGAAGCTTTCTAATTCCTATCTCTCTCATCTGTTAAATCTTGAGGTTTGTTCCCCACATACGGAGTCTGTAACACACTTTTAAAATGCTGTATTAGCACCTTGTTGCAACTGGCCAGCATATTCCTTAGGGCCAGTCAATCTATATGATGCTGCTACTCTATTTTCCTTGACTCTATTTTGATTGGGAACAGTTGCAAGTTGTTGCCAAGGGTTTCTCTTCTTTCATGGGCTGCAAAATCATCGATGGCAATAGAGATCCTTGATGTTGCTGGTTGTTACCACACTAGCCTAAGATTAGGTTATTTTCTATTATTTACAAGGAGCTCTGGCTACAGGGTCAGGAGACCTGATTTTAGTCTCAGTGCAGACTGTTCTAAAGCACTGTGTCATCTGGGACAGGATATTTCATCTCTCTGGGTCTTGGTTTCTTCCTTTATAAAATGAAAATTTAAACTAGAAGATTAAGAAAAGTGTGTAACCTTTTGACACTACACAGCTACATTTTTTATGATCATTAAAATAATCCAAACGTTATAATGCTATGGAGTTATTAGAAACAAAGAAGAAAGGATAAATGTCATTTAATTGAATCTGCAGATGGGAATAAGAAAGTTCTACCAGTAATTTTGTGATTGTGTCTTAATGGAGTCCAAAAGAATTTCCTCTTTGGGAAATGTGAGTTAATACACCCACAGAGGAATGATTAGGAACAAGAATATATATACTAGATGGGAAATGCTGAGAACCTGAGATTTTAAATCAATACCCATAGGCGAGATGTGGGCAGCTGACGATGTGCAAAAGAACATATAGATTTGAAATATTCTCTGTTAATGATGATGGAATTATTATAGCATGCTAGAAGTCTAGAATAGCAATCAATGAATTATACATGTTTAAAAAATAAGTCTGTCTATTCACCAACCCAGCCAATGAATGACTGATTAGTTTAGGATCATTTGAACACAGGTCACAAAAGAATCGCTAGAGTGGGAAATTCAATTATGTGTTTAAGGCTGCTGTGGTGATGGTGGTTTCAGTTCTTCCCACCAACTGCAGGGAGGGAGTTGTAACCTGGCCGTATCTCTTGAGTGCTGCTGTGGCAAGCTCACTACGGATCCAATCTGCACCTGAGTCTCTTGTTATTTAACTAAACACACCTGATGTATTTAAAAGACATTTTAACTGTAAGGGGATAAGCTCCATGGCCAGCAGCACTTCCTGTGGAAAGCTAGAATAGCCTAGTGTTATTCCACCGAGTCTCTTGATTTTTTTTTTTTTTTTTTTGCATAAAGATTTTTAGCGGAATAAAATTGCCTCGTGTCAACCTTCTGGGTTTGCTCAGCTGCCTGGTCTCTGAAAATTTCAGAGAGGGAAAAAATGACCCCAAGGTAAAGGCTGGATCCTGGTTTTGCATTTAGCTGCTTCAAGCAGTAGGCTTACCCAGTTGGGGAGAGGAGAGAAAGGGAGAGAGAGGTGGGGGGAGAGAGAGAGGTGGGAAGAGAGAGAAAGGGGAGAGAGAAGGGGAGAGAGAGAGGGAGGGGAGGGGAGGGGAGGGGAGGGGAGGGGAGGCAAGGAGGGAGAGAGAGAGAGACAGAGACAGACAGAGAGAGAGAGATCCTGTCTTGAGGTCAGTGATTAGTAATCTAGGGGGTTCCAAAAGGGGACAGGTGCTGAGATGTGTACTTCCACCCCTGCCTGGGGATTCTCCCTGCTTCTGGTAATCTGACCTTGATAATTTCTAACGCAATTACCTCTCCTCTAGCACATTCTGACCCCAGCAAAAGGGGACGCACCCATCCAACTATCTTTTCGCCTTCAACACTGAAGACTTCGCTCTACCACCAACCGCTGACGCCGCGGCAGTGCACTTTTGGTCCCCCACTCTTTGACCCTGTTTGCACAATCGTCCTTTCTCGACAGGCCCAGGTGCAGCCCCCAGAGAAAAGAGGAAGCCTTACATGTATCATATTTACCTGGAGGGCTTGTTTAAACAGATGAGTCAACCCAATCCTCAGAGTTCCTGGTTCCCTAACTCTGGGGTAGAATCCACTAATTTGCATTATAAACAAGTTCTTAGGTGGTGCAGATGCGGATGCTGCCCGTCCAGGCCACTTTGAGAACCACTGCCTTAGATCAAGGAAGGTGCCTCAGTGCGGGCTCCTCTTTCCTTTCCATCTCTCTCCACCCCTTTCGCATTTATGCCATTTTCCTTTCTCTGTGACACATTCAGGCTTTTGGACTGTTTGTAACGGTGCCGCTGCTGTCCGTTCTCAACGCCTGGAAATTGGGGGGTTTGTTAGAGGTGATTCGTGCCCTGCTCCACCCTGGCGCATCTTCGCCCCCACAGCCTTTACCGTTTTTCCATCGCTAACACTGCCCTCCTCACTCCCCCTCTCTCGGGTGTGAATTATTCACCCTCTTCCCCTACTCTTCACATCAAGTGCAACCTTTCCCGCAACTTTGCAGCGGTGGCGGGCTCGCGGATCGCCTCCTGCGCTCAGCGGTCCTGGGGGAAACTCCCCTGGGCGGCCGCACGCTCCCCCAGACGCCAAGCCCGGCCCGGGTCGCAGGGGCCATTCCGGGCGCCGGCTGTGCGCTCGGACTTCAGGGCTCGCGCTCCCGCTCCGGGGTGGGGTAAGGGCGGTGCGGAAAGCGCCAGTGTTCAGGAAGGTTTCAGGCGCCGGAGCCCGGAGGGGGGCGGTAGCAGCGTCAGGTGGCTGCTCTGCGTCCCCGCGCGCCGCCCAGCCAGTCCCTGCCCTGCTCTCAGCCTCGGCTGGGGCTGGAGCTGGAGCCTGCCCGCACCTCCGCCCCGGGAGCCGCGTCCGCGCCAGCAGCCCGGATTCGGGACCCGAGCGGGAGACGCCGAGATGTGAGCCTCCGACTGGCCACTGCTCTCTCTGGCACCCTCTTCTCCCATTCCACCGGCCCGATTGGACAGCGATCGCTTGCCTCGATCTCCGGGGAGAGGAGCAACCACCAGGCGCACAGCCCAGAAGTTGGGCTACGCTGTTCAGCCCGGAGCTCGCTGCGCGAGGGGGTGGACGAGGAGACCGGGAGACGAAGGCGCGGGGAAGGGGTCTCGGTCTGAGCTGAGGGGGATTGGGAGGGTGGGGGCTTGAGTTCCCGCTTGCGCTCCCCAGCAGGGGGAGAGATGCAGAGCCCGCGCCCAGGCGCCGGCCGCCGCGGTAGCAGCCTCAGCAGCAGCCTCAGCATCAGCACCGGCGGGACAGCGACAGCGGGGGCGGCGCAGGCGCACTGTGCCCCGCGGAGCCTGCAGTTCCCGAGCCCCGTGTGCGGCACCGCCACAGTCTGGGCAGCGGCGGCCGGGGGAGCGCTACTACCATGAACTGCCTGGTCCTCCTCCCCAGAGCTGCTCATCCGGGTCGGGCTGGAGACACAGTCAGGGGACCCCGTCGCCGCCGCCGCGCCCCCTCTTCTTTCGGCTCAATCTTCTCTTCCACCTTTTCCTCCTCTTCCTCCACCTTCTTTGCCTGCATCCCCCCCTCCCCCGCCGCGGATCCTGGCCGCTGCTCTCCAGACCCAGGATGCCGGGGGGCAAGAGAGGGCTGGTGGCACCGCAGAACACATTTTTGGAGAACATCGTCAGGCGCTCCAGTGGTAAGGAGAGTTGTAGTTCAGAACACCCCCACCTCCATCCCGCCCACACGCGCCCCCCATCCTCCCCATCCCATCCCTCTCCCAAGGGGGGAGGAGGATGCAGGCAGCCTTACCTGGTGGTTTCATTTACCAGTTGGGCTGGATTTGGGGTGGGGTGGGGTGGCAATGAGATGGTGGGGGAAAGTTAGTTGCATCCCCTTCCTACCAGACAGACTCACCCCCTCCCACCTGTCCAGAGCCCAGAACTGGAGGAAAGAAAGGGGTTGGATAGGGTGTAGGTACATCTGGAACATAGAGTTGAGTTTTGCTTTTATCTTTCTTGTTCTTCCTTCTCCCACATTTTTCCCCAAAGTGAGCAGCAGGGACTGACCAAATTCTGAGTTAATCTCAGTGGAAAGGTTTCCCTCAAGTTGGGAATGGCTGCGAAAGTGGCTACTTAACAAGATTTAAATCTCTGGAAAGGCTTTTGGCCCTCGTGGTCACGGGGAAAGGTGCTTTGTGCCGGGGAGAGTAGTTGAGGTTGAACCTAAGAAAGAGTTCAGTGCTTGCAAAATGGGAAGCCAATTACTGTGGACAAATTGGTGCTTCAAGTTTCTTCTTGCTATGTTTTTCACTGTACATTCATCTATATATTTCGTTTGACTTAAACATGAGAAACGTAGAAGTGAAGCAGTAACTATTGTGCTTTTAATGCAACTAGAAAAAAATCAAAAAGATGCCATCCTACCTTGCTACTGGCGTTAAAGTTTTCTTGCCTTAGTGTGTCTTTAAAATACCATCCATTTATACATTCATTTCCTACAAGATATTTTGGATGGGAATGGTTATATATTTCCACATTTTAAGACCTTATAAACTTTGCATCTTACTGAAATCTGCGTTTTCTACTTGTTTTTAATTCTTTTGTATAATTTTAAACTTCATAAGTAAGATATGTTGAATATCTTTTTAAGTTTTTCCTTCAGAGGCTGTTATTTTGACATCTCTTGCTTGGAGAATAATGAGAAAGACATTTCTGTATATGGAGTACAGTAGAGCTTGGAACAAAGCAATGGAAATACTCTATGCAGTTCCATAGTGCCTTGTTTATTCATTCATTGAAACAATATTTATTTGGGTGCCTTATACCACAGATACTCTGTGGTTTCTTGGGATTAAAAAAAAGTAATTAATACACATCCCCTCTTCTTAAGAGGCTCCTTGCCTAGTTGGAGGCACAGGGAAAGACAGAGGTACACTGAAATATCAAATAATTAAATAAATAATGCTTTCCCTAAATGGTAGATTAGATTATACTAATTCTTAGATTAGAATCTCTTTTAAGACTAGGCTTGTAAATATTTCCTCTGATTTTGAGACTAACTGTATTTAAGTGTTTCAAAGTATTTTCCCCAAATATCTGACTTGTTATTTGTTTTTAATTTGAGGTTTTAAACTTTATTTCTTCGTTTTGGCCAATGCCTGAAACAATAAAAGTCTAAAGCAGTAGTGTTGTATTTGGGTCGGAAAAAATAGCGAATAGGGTCTGGCCTAATATTCTTTTAAATACCTGTATATTTTTTAGTTATATAAATTCATAATGGTAGGCAATTTTTATTCTTATAGATTACCTTCTTGTATTAAGATTATACTAAACCTATAATACAAGGGGATATTACTCTTAAAACAGTTTGGGGAAAATGTGTGGATTATTGGAATTAGTTAAGTATACAAGTCTTCTTTCAGCTTTCTCATCCTCTTGGGTTATTTCAACTTCACGCAATTTGGTCTATGAGAGAACTTTTCAGAGAAGGCCTTAAAACATAAAATCTGCAGGGTTACGATTGCTCTGCTTTATAAAGAGAAAGAACATGAGAATCCCTTGACTAAACTTTATTAATATAGCAACTGTGGTTGAAGCTTCTTATGCAGACTATGAAACTATGAGATAGTTTTTTGAATTTTTAAAAATTGTAGATATACTATGAAATAAAGATTTACCTTAGGTGGCTTAGAAATGTCTGTTTCTGTTGCCTCCATTTTGTATCTACCACTCAAATTAATGAGTATTTTATCTTTTTTACACTTCATGTTCATAATCGTTTCATTGGTTAAATGTTTCTTTCCTGGACAATACCAAGTGAAAATGAAAATTTATCTGTTTTGGCACTTAAATGCCACCTCTAATCGCCTATGGCTAACTTTGAATACCACTACTCAAAGACCCTGAACTGTTTGAAGTGTGTTAGATAGTTGTAGTGAGTATATATGCAGGTGTGTGTGATAAATACTGAAAAGTCTCAGTACCTCTTTTATAGGCAGAACCTCAGAAATTGAGAATTATGGTATTAAATTGGTCTACACATTCACGGGGGAATATCCCGCAGTTGTCATTTCTATATGATTTGGCAGAGAAATAGAAAAATTTATCCTGAGAAATTGTTTAATTGAGACTAATAGAAAATTCCCTTCAGGATTCTCACAGATGGATCAGGTTTGTCACTTTGAAGGTTTCATTATTCACTAACTTAACAACATTGAAAGTGAAGTGTTGGCAGAGGTTTAGCAGGAAGAGAAAGAATAGCACCCAGCACTCCCAATCTATTTAACAATTGAAGAAACAGAGGCTGGCCTTGTCTTTTTACCTGAACCCCAAGAAAAGCTCTTTCTGATACAATACCATTTTCTTCTTATGAAAAGGTCAGATCTTACAGTGAGAGTCAGCCAAACATAGACATAGATATAGAGAGATACCCAGATAATACACAGTCACATAGGTAAACACTCAGCTGGTCAGGCATCCACCCAGAAAACTGAAAAGAGGAATATCCTACTTCTTCTTTTTTAGGATTTGTCTGTAAAGTGTGTCCACCACCCTACAGACAGAGAGGAAGCAATCTAACTCTTTTTCTCTGTCTTGCACACAAGGAGCAAAACAGAGATGTAGGAAACAAAACAAAACAAAACACACAGAGCAGAGAGAAAGGGGTGGGGTGGGAGAGAGAGAGAGAGAGATTATGGGACATGCAAGGGAAATGGACACAAAGAGAAAATGTCAGACATTTATTTGTCCATGGGTATCACCAATGAACTGAAATCTCAGCCAGTTACAAATTTACCAGAACATTTTTTTGATGATGTGAAACAAAAAAGCAAGAAGTGTGGCATATTTGAATATCAATTTTATACCTGAGGATTTCTTAATAAAGTTCCAAACTCCTCAGATGCAGTTTCCCAGAATACCAGCACTGTATTCTGTACTCCAGAGTGGCAACTATAACCTATGCTATTATTTCACACCTCTTGAGACTGGATTTTTATTTTCCTTATTTAGTTGACTCAGTCTGTTATAAGCGAGCATTGCAAGTTGTTACTGGTGATTCAAAGTCTATAAAATAAAATAATGAGGGCCATTGAGTAGGATGGATACACACACCCTTTATAGCCAAATCTCAAAAGAAGCAAGGAATTCTTTTTAGTTTAAAGATAAAAGATAAGATCATTTCTAGACAAAAGGAATTATAATAATTCTTAGCATGTGATTCTAGTAAATATAGAGAACATTATTACTCTAAGAAGTTGTAAAGTTTAAAGTATAAATGCTATAGGACGGCTTAGACAAACTTTTGGCTAGTACGATCAAAATAAGCCATTAGTAAGGGAAGGTTTAGAGGACTATGTGGTGAGTTCATTACAGCTGAGCAATGTCTCCCAGAAGGCCCCTGCCTCAAGGGCTTACAGACTAGATTTGTGTCTAGAACATTATTAGGATACCTTCCTTTATTTAAATTTCAATTATTTATGCAAACTATTAATCTAAATTGGGCTCTAGGGAGCAATAAACTTGTGGGTAGAGGTTAAGTATCTGGAAGAAAGTAACTGTTTTTAGGACTTTTAGGTTAAAATTTAGATTCAAAAGACAAAAAATATTTCAAAGACCTTCAACCTGATTTTGTCTTTGGGCAGCACATTTTACTCATATGTTGTCTTCAATTCCTTAGCAAATAGGCAGACATGATTAGTTTGAGTGACAGTAAGCTAGGTTGCTATTTTGAAAATTTTAACTACAAATTAATACCTTTTAACTAGAAATTATTATTATTTAATATTTTAAGCTTTATGACAAATTGGAAGTTTATTTTAGTTTTGTGGAAAACTAGAAGTGTTTTTCTTTTTGGGGAAAAAAGGGGTTCAGGAAAGAAGAAAACAGAGAAGGTAGTATTTTATGAACCACTTACCTTTCAAGAGAAGAAACTCAGTATCCTCAATTTTTCATTCTGCTTGAGATAGCTGGTTGCACAAGCACTTTTTTTACTCAGCTATCTCTTACTTGTAGAAAAGTCCAAAATTATTTTCATGCTGAATTGACATTTGTACAAACTGAGGTCTTAAAAGAAACCTATAAGAGAGGAAGCAGAACTAGTGATCTGTAAACAAAACAAAAAAGGAATAATAACTTTTACAATTAGCCAATTTAAAAGAAATAATGGAAAACAAATGGACATTATTTTGGTTGTTGTTGTTATAAAGTTATTGACATTTTTTCTTGAAAGGTTTTCTTTAATATCTAAGACACTATTCAGGAAATACTGATAAAACCACACAGTGTTTTTGAAGCACTGGTTTACTCAGGTCTTATAATGTACCACTTTAACATTTAAAATATCAAAGAGGTTGAAATTATACTGACCACTTCCTAAATTATATTTATACATAAGCCACAAGATTGTCCCTTGCATTAGATTCCCACACTGTGTTATATAATGAATGCAGCACATTGCTGATAGAGGGATGCTTATTCTAAGATACTGTTATCTTCACTAGAAATTGCCCTCTTTGTTTATCTTTTGCTTGATTCCAGAAGTAGGATGTGTAAGACATCCATCTACCTAGGCACCTTGTAACTGACTTACTAAAAGGATCATATAAACATTATTTTTAATAGAAGGGCGTAGTTATGATTATTTTAATTGATAGCGACTGAGTAGATTTCCTAAAGAAGCCCTTTAGTTTAGTCAGTGTTTATCTTTTTCTTTCCTTGTGAGTCACAGCCGAGTTTCTTAGCTTGGAGGAACAATGCTTCTGCATTCTCCAGAGTGTAGCCTAGGAAAAGGTTGTGCTGTTCACCAAAGTACTGTAGTTAGTATTTACCACAAGAGGTCACTCTGGGTTCTGTCACAGGTGAACCAAGTAGTTAATATTTTTCTCTTTTTCTGTTCTCCCACCTCCCCCTTCCCCCACCTTGCTTGCCACCCCCCAAATTTGACTGGGAGGGAGTCAATGTAGTTAGTTGGTGCTCTTGGAAGAAAATATCTAAAATGTAAGACATGCAGGAAAGTTAAATGAAAAAAGGTATGTATTATATTAATTATTAGAATTTATTTTAGTTGACAGTGATCAACATTTTATAACTACACGAAAGTGATACTGATAAAAATTGTTTCTGTAAAGAGATGGATTTAAATACATTTTAGACTAATAGAGCATTTTCTTTAGCAGATAAAATTTTATGGTAATACGCAATTTCAGCATTTCATATACATACAGTATATGAAATATAAAGTCTTGCAGAAAAATGACCTGTACATAATGCTTCATATTGAGCCACTTCAACAGATTTTTTCTCTATGAGACATCTTTATATAATTTATATTGAATTGGTGAAGTAGAATCAGTTCATAACAGTGCTTTAATTTTATCAAAAGATAGTTTACAGATTTATAGTTACTTCCTCAGGATGTTATGTAATCCTAGTATTTTATTTTTACCCAAATTTTAAAAATTAAATACAGAGCTAAATTGTTTAAAATTATTAAATAATATTTTCAAAGTTTTTTAAATTATTAAACTCCAAAAGACAGGATTGGGAGTAGACTGTTTTAAGAGGTTTTGTTTCCTCTTAGTCAGTAAATCTGAATTTTGGTTTAAGGCAATTCTTTTTTCTTTTTGGTGGGTTAGAAACCATATAGCAAGAGATACTTTGAAATGTTCCACACAATTTTGGTTTTAATGGGAAAAATTGAAACATGTCTTAAAGTACTTTTATAAATACAAGAGACGTGTTGTGAATCAGATAAACATGGATAACAAATCACAATCCAAAACCAGTGGCAATTATTGTTGTGGAAATTGAGGTCAAAGAAAGTAGTGTTCTAGAAAGTATTCTAGAAAATGGACATTTATGAAACAAATTCCTTTACCAATAGCAAAGCAGAATGTAAAAAAATCCTCAGCATTTTCCACTAAATAGTCTAGCTTTATAATACATGACATGAGTCCTTTTCATCATTTAAAGATAATTAAAAAGAATCATTTAAATATTCCTATTTTATATAATATAGAAACTAATATATTAGAAAGGCTGAGTCTTGAAATATATTTGATCAAATGGAGGCAGTAATAACTATTGTCACATAGATCAGTGTGTATTTTAGACATCATTTTAGTGTTTGGTTATATGTGGATACTATTACCTAGTAAAGAGACATATTTATATACATTCTAGATAGTAGTTTTGTGATATATTAGGTTGACAAAAGAAAAAAGAGGAAAATTAATGAGCACAGTAATTTAGAAAGAAAGTGTGGTTAGAAAGCTATTGGAAATTTTATTGAAAATAGATTTCCCTCTCTCTTTGGGTCTGGTCCCATTACAGAAATATAACTATTAAGTACAAAGTCATATGGATCTCAAAAGATACGCAATTTGAGATCTGAGCTTATGTGCATAATCATAACAGCTTGTAGATATAAGGACATATAATTGGGAAGTCATGAAAATTTTGGTATATGAACTAAGCTCCCTGAGGATATGGGTCATATCTTAAAAAGACTTTTATGTCCTCCACTGTGCAGAGCACATAGCAGTAAGTATTCGTTGAATAAATGCTTTTTTGATTTTTGTCTCCTAAAGTAACCAAGACCATAATTAATTCTTTCCCCAAGCCAATGCTGATTAAATCTATTAAGTGAGCTTGAATAAGTAATTACATAGTTTAAACTATTTAGTTAATCAATGCATATATCTGAAAACAGAAACCACACTGCATAGGGCAAATCAGATGGTACTTCTGAGAGGATGAGAAAGGAATATGAAATGGATCCCATGTTCACTTCCTATTCCAAATTGAGGTGCGGCTGAAATATTTTCTACCATTTTTGTTTCAGTTGTCAAGAGCTTGAAAGCTGGACTATTTAATACCAGAAAGAACTGCTTAAAAATTTGTAGATTCTAACTAAATTATTTTAACAACTTTGCAGTTAGCAGTTATTGATGGTGAGTTTTATCCCTGGGAATCAATCCTTACCTGCTTAAGTACCTTCTGAGTGAGTTTTGCCTTGGGGAGCAGCTTACAGCCCTGTGCAGTATGCAGCAGAAGAGGAAAATGAGTTTTAGATTTTTAGAGACTGCAGGGCCAGCCTCAGGTTGCCATATCTAACTAAAAATCGAACAACTCACTTGGATTGAGGGGAAAAGTTAACCTTTGTCCTGATCTTTTCTGTAAGCCCTTTTTGGTCTGCTGGCATTTATTTTTATTTTTTAAATTTGGGGGAAAATTAAAGCACAATGATTTTATTTTTATACATTTACAAGCATTGAAAAAATAGAGGAGTTCCTCAATGGGGGTTAAAGAGTCTCAGAATAAAGACTCCGAAATACAACGCTGATCCTTTTGCTTGGCTCTCATGCCCTTTCTAGTTAATTATCCATTAATGCAACACCATTTTATTGAGTACCTACTATGTGCTAGGCAGGGATCTAGCACTAGGGATTCATAATGAACACAGTGACAAAAACAATGTTTCTCCTGTTTTTCTGTGGAGGGCATGTGCATATTTATAAGTTTCTAGAGGCCTGTATTAGAGTCCTGGCTCTGACACTTACTAGCTCGGTGACTTAACTTACTTGTACCTAGTTTCCTTATCTATAAAATACAAGTAATAATAGTACCTAGTTTATGGGGTTAGAGTGAGGATTAAGTTAGGCAGTACATGTAAGTACGGAGAACGGTGCCTGGCACATAAATAAGCATTATATCATGCCAGTAGTTATTATTATCATTTAGTTGTTTAAATATTTGAATGCACTTTCTATAGTTGATGTTTTTAATTCTTAGTCACCATTTCCTTCTGCACCTCTTTTCAACTAATTTCCGCCTCCTCCATAATGCTGAAAATTCCTAGAAAATTATGAGTGCGCATTCTTCTCGTAAATCTTAAGATCTTTTCTTGGTCCATATTTTTTCTGACTTTGCAAGGTTTGAAACTATATTCCCCTACCCTCTCCACCATTCATCTTATAGCTATCATGAGCTTACAAGCCCTGCTGCCCTTTCTACTGGCTTCCCTTTTTGTTCCTCTCCTCCTCCCTCCTCTCCTTTTCCTTCCTAAAGAATGAGTTGAGTAGTCCCACAAGTTCTCCCTTCAACTTTCTTTCTTGCATCTCCATCCTACTTTTCAGGGAAAGTTTGTCTTCTGCCATAATTTAAACTTTATCTTCTCTGTGCCCCAGGTCTGTATTTCCAAAGGTATACAGGATTTCTCTTCTTGTACTACTCAAAAGTCATCTAAAACTCAGTGTAGGCAGAATAGAATTTATTTGCTTTTGGCCTCAGATTGACTTTTTTTTTTTTGTATCTCCCGTTTCTATTCAAAGTGTCTTTAGTATTTTTGTTTTTTACTCTAGAAGTGTTAGGGTCATCTTTGACTTTCCATTCAGTATAATGTTAGTCTTACTTTCCAACTAGATTATCAGTCCTTAGCTTTCTTTTGTGTCTCCTGTAAGTGCTGTGTGCAGAGTAAGTTAATTCATGCCCATTTACTATACTGACTCATCTTAAGACATGAAGCATGTTCATAACTGACATCATATACAGCCAGTGTCTCTAACTGTGATGGACCAAAGAAAGAACTACAGGTCAGAAGGAAAGAGCTGCCTCATTAACTGACCTCAGAAACTAAAGGTCTCCAAGAGGGAGGAATGACATGTGTGACATATTCCCCTTGCTCGTTCCTAAAACAGCTTCTGTCTGTACTAGAGCAAACATCATCAAGGTAACTGGTAATCTTTCTGGAACTCTATGAGGGCATTTCCAAGGCTCACAGAGCAGTGCTCTCAACTGTGCTATCAGGCACAGTGCTGGGATGGAAAGAGCAAAGGTGTTGAGTTCTTGACAACACAGACTCCTGTCTAGCCCTTACTCCTGGTGACACACTGAGGCTCTCCAGAATTAGGACACCTACCTTACAGGGTTGCTCAGAAGATTTGGTGAAGCCCCAGATGTAGTGGATCATCTCAGTAAGGACTTACTCTAGATAAGGTAAGGTAGGGGAGATTTTTTTTAACCTGAAGAAAGCAAGAAATTAAGTAGTTGAGAATTTCCCAGCAGAAACTGGTGGATCTGAGCTTAAAAGCATTTGAGTTCAATTTACTAAGGGCTTACCTTGGAGAGAATACTAAACCCAAACAAACAACACACCTCTGTCCATCCTCGCCCCAAACAAAAACCTACTGCCTAGAGCAAAAGAAGTATCAGTTCTGCTTACTTCAATACCTGATAATTCTTGGACAAACTGAGGAATAAAGCAGAAACATCAGCCTCTTCTTATAACCATCCTAGTGAAATCCTGCCAAAGGAGAAATGAATTGAATTTGTAGCTCTGTAACTCTTTCTTGAACAATTAGCTCCTGTTACATAGAGTGTAGAAATTTAAAAACATACAGGAGAAAGCCTTAGAAAATTAACTGGATTGTGAATGCATTCAGAAAAGCCTCTTTGTGTTTTTCTATCATGTGTGCAGGTTGGACCAGCTTTTTAATTGAAGTTTTTCATCATTTATCTTGCCATTAGTGTTTAATTGCCATTAAAGGGTAACTTCAAAGAAAATATATAATCTCCTCAGAAAAGATGCAGTCCATTTGCAAAAATCTTTATTTGTAGGATTTAAAATGATGCTTAAACATTAAATATATACTTTTTTCCTCTTATAAATACATCTTGACTGATTTAGCTTTTATTCCCCAAGATTATGTAACTAGCATAAGTCTTATAGCTTCAGGTATTTTAAGAAATTTCATTGCAATATAATTTAGTAAAATGTTATCATTATATCAGGGTGAAAGTTTTCTGTTGTATTATGATGTTATGCATCAAATAGGCCATTATTGCAATTATATTTTGCTTCTAATGATTCTGACCAGTTTACATTTTAGAAACTCATTTTTTCATGAACAAAACACCAACTATTAAAAGTAGAAACATTGAATTGTTAAACATTTTGTGGAGAAATCTTTTTTAATAGCAAAGTTGCTATTATTCCTACCACTAGAATTTCAGAAATATATGTTAAAGTATCTCATGCATTTTGAACCACTGTAGCTGGATGAAAAAATGAAGTTAATGCCATCAAAGAAACACAGACACTTAAAAAATGTACCTTTGATCGTGAAGGAGATAGAAAGTGGAAGCATATTTTTATCTTTCATGACACCTGAACAAGTTTGAATAAATTAACAGATATTTTTGCATATTTCAAACTCCTACAGTGATGGTCTGCTTAATGTTGCCAATATTATTGGGTAATAATTAGTGTCATTGTGGAAGGTACGAAGTATGTCTGCACATTTGCTATATTGCTAGAGGATTGTTGTAGGATACAGGTGTATTTTGTAAGAACATGAAGGAGACCAGCCTTACATTCTGTCATTGACATAGAAATGGGCAGTGCACATACAACAAATCAACATTGTGGATGTGGGCATGATTGTGCTTTTGTTTAGCCATCTGTACCAAGATTTTATTTAACCCAAATACAATTGCTATATATGCTTCAGATTTTTCCACTATTACTGTTCTATGAAACTTAAATAGATCTATAGGTATCATTCATCCAGAAGACACATTTAAAAAATAATACAGGCTGGGTGCCGTGGCTCATACCTGTAATCCCAGCACTTTGGAAGGCCGAGGCAGGCGGATCACGAGGTCAGGAGATCGAGACCAGCCTGACCAACATGGTAAAACCCCGCCTCTACTAAAATACAAAAAATTAGCCGGGTTTGGTGGTGCATGCCTGTAGTCCCAGCTACTCCGGAGGCTGAGGCAGGGGAATCACTTGAACCCAGAAGGTGGAGATTGCAGTGAACTGAGATTGCGCCACTGCACTCCAACCTGGTGACAGAGCAAGATTCTGTCTCAAAGCAAAAAACAAACAAACAAAAATAATACAGACTGCATGATTTAAATTCACAAGTTTCTAGAGGCCATTCAAAGCGGGGGAATATCTGCTTAGCAACACCCACCCCCTCCTTTTTTTTCTTTAACTTATTGCCAATTCCTTGAAAAAAAAAAATACCTGCCATGGTCCTTATCTACCTTCTTAACAATGTCTAAGAATTGCTTTATAACTATTTATTGACTGACTGTATGACTTTAAATAGGAAGCAGAATTTTTTATTTGATATATTCATAAAACATTTGTGAGTGTACAGTAATGAACAAATAGACACGGCCCCTGACCTCATGGAACTCAGAGTCTGGTAGGGGAGGCAGGCGTTCACCAAGCCTACATCAAATATATAATTACAAATTGTGGTAAGCATTTTGGATGAAAAGGGGAGGGTTTGATGATCGTGTGCATTGGGATCTAATTCCAATTGGGAGGCCTTTCTAAAGAAGTAGTGTTAAATTGATACCTACAGTGAGAGGTAACAAGAGGATAAGTGGGAAGAAGAATATTTCAGGCAAAGAGAAAGCATGTGAACATTCCTAAGGAGAAAAAGAAAATGAATGGCTAAGTTTGTGAAGCTTAAACACTAGCGCAGCTAGATTGCCTTGGGTGAAACCAGAAGAAAGACAGGAGATAAGGGCGAGTGACAGTTAGGGGCCTGGCTGTTCAGGGGAAAGATTTTGTGTTTTATTCCTAGTGCAGTGGAAAAACCTCATAGTCCCAAAAGCTACTTCCGTAAAGGTTGAGGGGAGGAGGAGAAAGAGTGGGAGACCAGTTAGGTCTGGTCTTGCGGTAGTCGACGCAAGATATGATGGTGGTCTGGCCTGGGATGGTAGTAGTGGAAATGGGGAGAAATGGATGTATCAGATATGTTTTGTTGGTAGCATTATTAGGATCTAGTAATGGATTGGATGACATGGATGAGGTGTGAAGGATGACTCCCAAGGTTTTGGCCCAAGCATTTGCGTGCAGATGGAGGTAGGGAAGATATCCTTGAGATGGGAAAAACTGGAAGAAGGCCACGCTTGGAATGAAACTCTAAAGACCATCTGCATCATCGCTGTCATCTAGCTCCCTTTTCATTCCCTTGAAGAAAAGAATAATGCAGCCAAAGACAGCTTAGCTCAATATAAGTGTGTACAGATGTGATTTCTGCATTCCATTTGCAGAGTTCAGAAAAGATCCGGGTAATTAGCTTGGACAGTCTGGTCATTCTTGTGGATTAGAAACATGTAGTTTCAGATTTTGATAAGAAACTGATTTGGATAAGAAACTAAGTAAACTTTTGAATAAAACCCAAACCCCAAACTAAACCTAACTTTATAATAAATATTTGACAATAAGCATTGTTGAAAAGGCCTCTGCAGCCAACTCCTTTTAGAAAAAGTTAGTGATTGCTACATGGTTTTAATGGGTCACTTTTGCTTCAGATTTTCCTTCATAGGCATCGATTTTTGGAATGTGTGTTCTTTGAATGGGAGCACTGTGAAGGGTGGGTCGATACTTGAAGCTGCGACTGCCTGCACTGATTCTTCCTCACTGAAGCCCCAGTGATCTGGAAGAGCAGCTTGAAATAGCCCTTATCTGGGTTTGTAGTCTTGCCTGCACTTCGTTTCTGTTGGAAGAGCTGTGTGTTCCGGGGTTTGAGGGCTTTGAGAGCGAGAGCTGTGGTTTCTGGGTGGTGTCCTTCTCCAAAGTTAGAACTACATGAATACAGTCAGAGGGAAAACGCAGCTGACTTTCTTCACATGCCGTCCTGGATCTTGGCAAATCTATAAATTAGTGAAAGTTTTTTTTTTTTTTTTGTGAAGTCCTTTTTCTTCTCAACTCCTCTCCATTTTCTTTGTTCCTCAGTACTCTAAAATTTGTGTGTCTTATTATTATTACTTAAAATACTTAAAAACTGCTAGTCCTCTGAAATATTTCTCTCTGGGGGTAATTTGCATAAAAAAGGTAAAAAGGAGAGGGAGCCAGAGGCTTAACCCCCTAAAAAGCTGTTCCACCCTTTTTTTCTACACGTCTTAAAAATTGTATATATATAAGGCCTGTAACATTGTTTTTATATACATATAAATAGTGAAATGATTATACAGTCCAGCAAATTAACCTATTCATCATCTTCCATATTTACCCTTTTGTATGTGTGTGGTAAGAGCTAAAATCTCTCTTAGCAAATTTTCAACATACAATACAATATTAGTAAGTACAATATTAGTAACTGTAGTCCTCATGTTGTGCATTAGATCCCTAGACTTATTTATCCTACATAACTGCCAGCTTGTATCCTTTGATTTCTCCCATTTCCTTCCCCTCCCCACCACCCTTGTTAATGTACATGAGATTTCTGGATCCGAGAAGGATATGATTTTCATAAAAACAAAACAAAAACCAGTCCGATCATGTTGGAGCAGCTCGAGGAAATCATTTTTTTTCTCCTGGAATTGCTATAGAAAGGGAGGAAACATCCCACATGCTCTTATATTGCCTTTATTGACTGAATATAACCTTCCTTTGTCCAGAATTTTTTATCAGCCAGGATTATTGATCCCATGATTTGTGTATGAACTCCTTTAGGAATTAATATGTAGTAGTATTAACCTAAGTGTAGTTATTTTCCTGTTGTCTGAATAAATTGCTCTATAAAGAGGAAGTGCCTCCTTATATTAAAACAAAATAAAACAAAAACTTAGCAGTTCAGAAATATAGTCTGACAGAATAGAAAGTCTTAGACAGGGAGGCCTGGTCCTGTCTTTTTCCCCTACTAGATACTCTTTTCCCCCTACTAGATACTCTTTTCCTATATTGGATGAGTCTTTAATTTTCCTGGTCTGTTTTCCCATCCCTAAAAGAAAGGAAAAGCAGAAGATGGGTGCATTTTGGGGTCACCTGAGGATCTTGTTAAAATGCAGGTTCTAACTCAGAAGGTCTGGGGTGCGTCCCAGGTTCTGCATTGCCAATAAACTCCCAGGTGATGCTGGCCCATACTTTGAGTAGCAAGGCACTGGATCAAAGTGTGCCAGACTTGGCTGAGCATGAGACTTACCTCTATGTCTGTATTTTTACATTCACCTCTGAGGGAGTCAGTTCAGAGCATCTGCATTAGAATTTAACAATCTCTATTTTTGACACTGGTGACAAGATTCTATTGCAGCTGCCAGCATTTAGGAATTATTGCTCTAGATTAGTGCTTCTCCACCCTGGCTGCACATTAAAACTACCTGAAAGACTTAACAATAAGTATTGATGCCTGGGTTCTACTCAAGACCAATTAAAACAGAATCTTTGGCATTTGGGGACGGGGATGAATAACTCCTAGGTGGCCCCCTCCAATCTCCCTCAACTTTCACTCCACTCAACTGTGCAGTCAAGATTGAGAAACACTGGTAATAATCTCTAGGGGACCATTTGGAATTAAGGGTCTTTGATTCGTTTTTAACCTTCTAACCCTTGAAGAAAAAGTGCTTGTTTTATTTTATGTTCTCCTCTGATAGGATACTGCATAGTCTTGAATGAATATAATGAGTTGTTTTCAAGTCTTAGCCCCTTGTGGATGCATTCCAGAATCTGCTGACTTGTGAAATTACAGCTTCTGAAATCCTTGCCTCCTGGTGGGGATAATGCCCTGGTTCTTAGGCACCTCATTCAGGACCATATTGTGTGTCTGATCCCTTTGGAGATGGAATGTTTGTAAACATCTTTAAGGAATGAAACAATCTGGATCTCAAGGAAAGTTCAATTTTCCAGAATTCATGGCTCAAGGTCCTTTAAGAGCTGTGAGGACAAACCAGAACTGGTTTCCCTGTCAAGATTGGTTGATAAGAATGGGTGATGGTCACTGAAATTCTGGGCAATTTCTTTAAAGGCATCACTTTTCCAAAACTTCTAAACCCTCTTACTTTCTAGATTTGTAACTCATTTGTTTTCAAGGAAGTTATTCCTCTGTAATCAGATTTCTTTTCCTCAACATGTTTTAAAGCTAAAAGAAATTAAAATTTTCTGGGAAGCAATTTTAATTAATTTGCTATTCTGTTCTTAATATTTATTAATAATATATTTTTCATTTGTTGTAATAAGAATTTTCATGACTACAGGGAAATGCAACAGTTATATGAATATTTCATATACATAGAGAGTGTTTCAATGAATAGAGAAATTTCAAAAAGAAACCTCTGGATTGTTAATATTCAGCAATTTCTATCTAATTTAGCCTTAATTAAAAAATCTGTCTCCCTCTCTTCTTCTCATTTTTCTCAAGTATTTTATTCTGTAGTTTAGTTCTTAGTGATAAATACAATTTTATAGGTTTTGGTTTGCAGGTCAACATTTAACAGTTTATTTTTTCTAGGTTCTTCTCTTACATACATACATACATACATCCCCCCCGCCACAAACACACCAAGATACCTCTGCATATACAACTCAGTAACTTAATCTTGTACATAATAGTAATAGCTTATAAATGCTTTTTGCTTTAATAGTTTATAAAGACTGCTTACTTTATTTAGTCTCCGTAACTATCCAGAATGGTGGGTATTACTGTCACCAGTTTGTATATCAGGCAACCAGTAGCCTAATTGGAACTCACCAGCTTTTTTGCAGAAACTTACTTGGTGGTACGGAGAAGGGATCCAAGTTCTGGGAGAATATTTGAGTCAGGGCTCCTTGTGGTATATTGATTGTTAGAAATGTTTACCACTTGATAACATCTCATATAAAGTAGACTTAGCACCATGTCTGCTTTACTCAACTACGGTTTTATAAAACGTTCAGAAATGGTAAAAGCAGTTTTCATGTTTGTCCTCCATAAACTCAGAGTGCATATAGTTAAAATGCAATTATTAAGGCCTCGAGGTAAGGTCTGGTGAGCACAGTCCAATTACTTAACTCTTTGATGGTCTCAATTACTGGACTTAAACTTCAAGTATAAAGATGAATGGAGAGCATATTTCCTAGACTACATTTTTAAAAACTTTAAGTTGGTTTGAAAAACGCTCTTTGAGTTGTTAGGTCTGAGGTCTAATTGACTATGTGAGCAAATACTTTAGGGTATACCTGGCAAATATGTGAATTGTCCATATTCTATATTATTGGTTAAAATGTAGATATTTTGAAAAATGGGATTGAAGAGAAAAGCAAAGTCTTAATTACCTACTTTTGATTCTAACTTCTGTGTTCTTCTCCCTAAACAACTCTGCTTCCAGTCTAACAGGAAGAGTTAGTTCTCCCTGCAGTGAGTTGCTTTAGGACTTTTCCTTCCTTCCTAGTCTTCCTACTTTTCCATCTAAAGCAAAAAAAAGAGACAGAATTTCCTAGACTACTTAGGAAGAGTTTAAATTTGCAATTATTTCAGCCAAGAATTAGAATTTAAGGAACATGTGTTCTAGTTGCCACTTCTGACCTTGGGAATCGCGGCTTTGTGAGTCTGTGACTTATTGCCTGATGAGTGATCAGTGAAGGAAGAAATGAAGTTTTCCTGATTAGGGATAACATGTACAACATCAGGCCCAATACCTAGCATAGAGTAGGAGTCCACTAATGGTTGCTTTTGTTATTAATTTTGTTACTACACAGAGTTACTCAAGTGTAAGTGAAATAACATATTAACAGATGGGTAGTGATAGCTGGACCCTGCTGAGCTGGAGTCTGAACGTTCCCATTGTAGAGCTGTTGAAAATGGTATGATGGGGGCAGGGTAATGTTTTTAATGGCAGAGTTCATATGAAATAGTTAGAATGATCCAAATCCTAACAAATGTCTTGAAAACTAGTCTGTTTATAAGAGAGAGAGAGAGAGAGAGGTTTGTAAAGCCTTTGCAGAGTTGTTTAAAGCATGCTTTTAAAATTGTAAGGTACACCCCTTCATTGGGCTATGAAATTGATTTAACAGGTCTTGATTAATGCAGCCAAAATTGAAATAGGTTAGAAATTGTAGAGTACCTCTCATGTAGTGAGTAAATGTAGTCTGAGAAATTTTTTCAATTGTGTATTGTGTATATACATGTCTGCACATATGTATATACACTTGAGTCACTATGTAAATATTATTTCTTACTATGAGCTTTAATAAAAAAAGTTTGAAAAACACTATTTGTTAGATCAGCCGGCCCTTAATGTTTACAGTCTTTCTTTTTTAAGCCTGTGGGGTCCTTTTTCCTAGAATACTAGCAATTCATTCAACCAATAAATAATTACTATATTGCAATACTTTTCTTAAAAATTTTTTAAAAAATCAACAAGTAAAAATTGAATATGTTTATAGTATACAATAAGACTTTGCCTTCTCTTCAATACCATTTTTCAAAATATCTACATTTTAATCAATAATATAGAATATGGACAATTCAAGTATTTGCCAGGTATAGTATACCCTAAAGTATTTGCTCACATAGTCAATCAGACATAACAACTCAGAGTTTTTTTTTTTTTTTCAAACCAACTTGAAGTTTTTAAAAAGATAGTCTAGGAAACATAATGCTTTGATATATGTCTACATTGTGGAATGGCTAAGTCAAGCTATTTCATATATTCATTACCTCACTTGTCACTTTTATTTTTTGCAGTGAGAACACTTAAAATCTCCCTTGGAGATTTTCAAATATACAATATATTGCTATCAACTGTCATTAACCTGATATATAGTAGATCACTCAAACTTATTCCTTCTGTCTAACTGAAATTTTTGTCCCTTGACCAACATCTCCCCAATGTCCCCACCCTTCAGCCTTTGGTAGCCACCATTTTTCTCTGTTTCTATGAGTTTGACTTTTTTTACATTGCACATGTAAGTAAGATCATATGGTGTTTTTCTATGTCTGACTTATTTCGCTTAAAATAATGTCCTCCAGGTTCATCCATGTTGTCACAAATGACAATGCTCCTTTCTTTTTAAAGGCTGTATAATATTTCATTAGGCATATATACCACATTTTCGTTATTCATCTGTTGATTGGCACTTAGGTTGATTCCATATCTTAGCTACTGTAAATAGTGGAGCAATAACCATGAGCATGCAGATAGCTCTTTGACATGCTGATTTAATTTCCTTTGGATATTTACTGAGTCGTGGAATCGCTGAATCATATGGTGGTTCTATTTTTAATTTTTTGAGGAACCTCCATACTGTTTTCTATAATGGTTGTACTAATTTATATTCCTACCAGCAGTGTAGAAGAGTTCCCATTTCTTGGCATCTTGGTCAGCTGTTATCTTTTGTCTTTTTGATAATAGCCATTCCAGTAGGTATGAGGTAACATCTTATTGTGGTTTTAATCTGCATTTCCCTGATGATTAGTGATGTTAAGCTTTCTTTCATGTAACTGTTAGCTCTTTGCATTTCATCTTTTGAGGAATGTCTATTCATATCCTTTGCCCATGTTTTAATCTGGTTATTTGTTTTCTTACTATCAAGTTGAGTTTCTTATATATTTTGCATATTAACCCCTTATATGTTTGGTTTGTAGATATATTTTATTACTCCATGGGTTGTCTCTTCACTCTGTTGATTGTTTCCTTTGCTGTACAGCTTTTTAGTTTGATGTAATTTCATTTGGTAATTTCTGCTTTAGTTACCTGTGCTATTGAAGTCAGACCCAAAAAATCTTTGCTCAGACCAATGTCTTGTAGCTTTCCTTCTATGTTTTCTTCCAGCAGTTTTATAGTTTCAGGTTTGATGTTGAAGTCTTCAATCCATTTTGAGTTAATTTGTATATATGGTGTGAGATGAGCGTCTAATTTTATTCTTCTGATGTGGGATATCCAGTTTTCCCAACATCCTTGATTGAAGAGATTGCCCTTTCCTCATTGTATGTTTTTGGTATCTTTGCTGAAAATCAATGGTTTATAAATGTGTGGCTTGATTTCTGGGCTCTCTATTATGTTTTATTTGTCTTTGTGTCTATTTTTATGCCAGTACCGTGCTGCTTTTGTACTATAACTTTGTAGTAGATTTTGATATCTGGTAGTATAATGACTCTGGCTTTGTTCTTTTCGTTCAAAATTACTTTGGCTATTGGGGTCTTTTGTGGTTCCAGATGAACTTTAGGATTTTTTTTTTCTGTTTCTGTGAAACATGTCTTTGGGGTTTTGGTTGGAATTACATTGAATCTGTGGATTGCTTTGGGTAGTATGGACGTTTTAACAATATTAATTCTTCCAGTCCATGAACACAGGATATATTTCCTTTTATTTGTGTCTTCCTCAGTTTCTTTTATCAATGTTTTGCAATTTCCAGTGTATAGATCTTTCACCTTCTTGGTTAAATTTATTCCTAAGTACTGTTTTTTTTTTTGTTACTATTGTAAATGGTATTGTTTTCTTGATTGCTTATTTGGATAGCTTGTTGTTATAGAACTGTTTTTCATATGTTGATTTCATATCCTACAACTTTACTGAACTTGTTTATTAGTTCTAACAGTTTTTTGGTTGAGTCTTTAGTTTTTTTCTACATATAAGATCATATTGTCTGCAAACAGAGTCAATTTAACCTCTTTATTTCCTATTTGGAAGGCTTTATTTCCTTTCTCTTTCCAGTTGCTCTGGCTAGGATTTCAGCTAGAAATTGAACAGAAGTGGTAAGAACAGGATCCTTGTCTTGTTCCTGATTTTAGAGGAAAAACTTTCAACTTTTTGTCATTGAGTATGATGTTAGAGCTTGTTATGGCCTTTATTGTGTTGAGGTACATTACTTCTAAACCTAATATGTTGAGAGTTTTTAATCATGAAACAATGTTGAATTTTTCAAATGCCTTTTCTAAATCTATTGAATCAATATTATAGTTTTTGTCCTTCATTCTGCTAATGTGGTCTATCATATTTATTGATTTGCATATATTGAACAATCCTTGCATCTCAGGAATAAATACCACTTGATCATGGTGAATTATCCTTCTATGTGTTGTTGAATTTGGTTTGAAAATATTTTATTGAGGATTTTTGCATCTATGTTCTTCAGGGATATTGGCAGATAATTTTCTATTTTCGTAGCTTCCTTGTCTGGTATCAGGGTAATGCTGGCCTCCTAAAATGAGTTTGAAAGTTTTCTCTCCTTTTTAATTTTTTGGAAGAGTTTGAGAAAGATTGAATTAGTAAGCAGTGAAAGTATCAGGTTCTGGGCTTTTCTTTGATGGGAGAATTTTTGTTAGTGATTAATCTCCTTATTTGTTATTGGTCTATTCAGATTTTCTTTTTCTTCATGATTTAGTCTTGGTAGGCTCTATGTGTCTAGAAATTTATTTCTTCAAGATTAGACAGTTTGTTGGATTTTAATTGTTCATAATAGTTATGATCCTTTGTATTTCTGTGGTATCAGTTGTATTGTCTCCTCTTTGATTTCTGATTTTTTTGAGTCTTCTCTCTCTTTCCTTAGTATAGCTAAAGGTTTGTCAATTTTGCTTATCTTTTCAAAAAACCAACTTGTAGTTTCACTGACCTTTTAAAGTTGTTTTTCTAGTCTCTGTTTCATTTATTTCTGCTCAAATCTTTATTATTTCTTTCCTTCTACTAACTTTGGGCTTAGTTTGTTCTTCTTTTTCTAGTTCACTGAGCTATAATATTAGTTGATTATTTAGGGTCTTCTTTTCTCATGTAGGCACTTGTTGCTATAAACTTCCCTCTAAAAACGATTTTTATTGCTTCCCTTAAGTTTTGGTATGTTGTGGTTCTGTTTTCATTTGTCTCAAGATATATATATATATATTTTTTGAGATGGAGTCTCACTCTATTGCCCAGGCTGGAGTGCAGTGGCATGATCTCGGTTCACTGCAACTTCTACCTCCCGGGTTCAAGTGATTCTCCTGCCGCAGCCTCCTGAGTAGCTGCAACTACAGGCGTGTGCCACCATGCCCAGCTAATTTTTGTATTTTTTAGTAGAGACAGGGTTTTACCATATTGGGCAGGCTGGTCTTGAATGCCTGACCTCATGATTTGCCTGGCTCAGCCTCCCAAAGTGCTGGGATCACAGGCATGAGCAACCACGCCCAGCCTGTCTCAAGATATTTTTAAATTTCCCTTTCAAATTTCTTCCTTGACCCATTGGTTCCTTAGGAGTATATTGTTCAATTTCCACATATTTGTAAATTTTCTAAAATTCTTCATATTATTAATTTGTAGCTTTATAACTTTGTGGTCAGAAAAGATACTTTATATGATTTTAATTTTCTTAAATTTGTTAAGACCTACTTTGTGGCCTAAGAGTTGATCTATCCTGCAGAATATTCTGTGTTGAGAACTTCAACTTTCTGTACTTGAGAAGAATATGTATTTTACTGTCTTTGGGTGGAATGTTTATATATCTATATCTGTCAGGTCCATTTGGTTTAAAGTGTAGTTCAAGTCCAATGTCTCATTATTGATTTTCTGTCTGGATGATTATATTGAAATTCCTGTATGCAGACTAGGCATATAATTTATAATCCTGAGGAATATGTGATTTATATGAAAAGACAAAGTTAGCATATATGGAATATTTAGAAAGACATTATTTAATAAATTTTATAATACCAATTATATAAAAAGAGAACCCTGCAAAAATGTATTAGTTCATTGGCTTATTCATATAATCAACCATTAAATTAGCATTTACTATGTGTCAGGCACTGTGCTAGGCAATGAGAAATCAAATGTGAGCAAAAACTTACATGGGCTCTATCCCTGTAGAGCTTATAATCCAATAGGCAGATAAACATTAATTTTTTCTTTTTTTTTTTTTGAGATGTAGTCTTGCTCTGTTGCCCAGGCTGTAGTTCAGTGGCATGATCTTGGCTCACTGTAACCTCCACCTCCCATGTTCCAGCTATTCTCCTGCCTCAGTCTCCCGGGTAGCTGGGACTACAGGTGTGCATCATTATGCCCGGCTAATTTTATATTTTTAGGAGAGATGGGGTGTCACCATGTTGGCTAGGCTGGCCTCGATCTCCTGACCTCATGATCCACCTGCCTCTGCCTCCCAAAGTGCTGGGATTACAAGTGTGAGTCACCGTGCCTGGCCAGATATACATTAATTAAGTCATGACACAAATAGGTGTAAAACTGCACTTGTGAATGGCTGTGAAGGAGAGGTACATCATGTCAAAAAATTATATAACAGGGATATAACCTCATCAGCAGTCAGGGAAAGATTCCCTGAGGTCATGTCAATTGAGTTAAGATCTAAATAAATGAAGGTGACAAGGTGAGGAGGGAAAGGAATGGTATTTAGGCAGAGATGATGGCAAATAAAAAGTCCTTATGCTGGGAGAGAACTTGGCTTTTACAAGAATATAAGAAAAGTCAATGAGGCTATTGTAGGCGAGTATCGTGGGCAAGGGTCAGAGTGATGAGAACTAAGGCTAGGCAGACTTTGAAGTCATTGTGGGCCATGGAAAGGATTTGGGTCTTATGAGAGCCAAAAGAAGGATGTTAAAGGAGGGAGGAAACATGATACAATTTTAGTTTTTTGAAAAACAAACAAACAAACAAACAAACAAAAAACTCGTTTGGCTTCAGTATAAAAAATCCATTGAAGGACTCCCACAGAGGTTCTGAGTAAATCAGACAGTTACCTGAGTAGTCTAGGGGAGAGATGATAGAGGGCTGGAGTTGGGTGATGATCATGGAGATGAAGAGAACTAGAGAGATTTGAAAGAGTTTTAGGAGATAAAAGTAATGCGATTGGTAATTAATTAGATACGAGGGTAATGGGATAAATGTTGATTGATGGCTCCCAGATTACTGGCTGATAAAATTGTATGGATGGTGGCCCCATTCTCTAAGACAGGAAACAGTGGGAAAGTACCTAATTTGAAGGAGTAAAAAGTCATGATCATGTTATACTGAAGCACATTTAAGATAGCTAAGAAAAGAGGTCAAGTTTGGATATCAAGATCGAGAGTTTACAGAAGAGGTTTGGTTTGGAGATATACAATCATGAGTTACTGAATCTATGGACATAGATAAGCATATAAGAGTAAAGAAAGGAGAGGACTTAGGCACTCTAATGTCTACTTATTGGTAAAGAAGGCACTCTAATGTATACTTATTGGTAAAGAATGGTGAGCCTGCAAAAAAACTAGAGGAATGTTCAGAGAAACAAGTGAATGGTGTTCTGTGAAAGCCAAGCATTGAGAGACTTTTAAGAGGGGAGTGGTTACCAACGCTTCTGAATTGTTATGAAATGAGTGAAAAGCATCCTGTGGGCTTGGCGATAGGGAGAGGTTATTGGTGACTTGGCTGTCTTGGTGGAGTGGTAGGGAAGAAGCTAAATAGGAGTGAGTTGAGTGAACAGGAGCTGAGGAGATGGAGTCAGTGAGAATAGACAACTTCTGTGGAAAGTTTGTCCTGTGAATGGTTGGAGACAGATACGGTGGCAGCCAGAGGAGATGTAGGCTGAGTGGTATTCAGTGAATGTGGCATAGAAAATGTAGAGTTGAGATGATTCTTAAGTGTTTTGATGGGCAAAGAGATGTCAGAAAAGTATTTCAAGTGAATAGTGGGCAGCATGAATGAGCAGATTTTCGGAACATAATGAAGAGACTGACCTAACTGTAATAGTATAGACTTTAGGAACAATGGGAAACATGTTTGTATAGGTAGGGAAGGTGAGACTGGATTTCAGAGGGCTTTGTTAGCCTCGGAAAGGATTTGAGATTTGATTATATAAACAGTTGGGATTGTTGATCTGGATGAAGAATGATAGGATACAGGAAGGGTTTCAGGGAGACAATTTAGCATTCACCTAATCACAAGACTGAACATTGGAATGAGTTAAGGCAGGGATACCATGTAGCTGTATGGCCTGCCACAGTTATCTAGTCATGAAGTGGACAGCTTATGGATTAGAGAGGGTAAACTGGCTTGGGCTAAGGCGAGAAAGAAAACAATTTTTGATGGTCATATTAAAAAATTTATAGTTGATACTATAAATAAAAGAAAACATCATTTATTTATAGAGGAATTTATACTTTCTGAAGTACTTTTGCAGAAATTAGCTCATTTTGATTTCTAACTGCCCTAGGTACCACAGAAATGTAGTAATACCATCCTCATAACTAAGGTTAAGCTCAAGTACCATTGTTTTACTAAAACTTCTGATTCTCTGGTCAGACGGAGTTATCCATTGTCCTCTTTGTGTGTTTTAAAAAATTTTTATGCAGCAAAATGCCCAGATCTTAACTGCACAGTTCAATGAATTTTGACAATTGTATACACCTGTGTAACGTATACCTCTATCAAGATAGAGAACAATTACATTTGCCAGAAAGTTCTTTTTATCTTTTCGGTCACTTCCTCCACCATTCCCTTTAGAAATCATTGTTCTGGTCCCTATCATCATATAATATTAGTTTTCCCTATATTTAAGCTTCATATTAATGAAATCAAACAGTATACCTACTTTAGTGGCTGTTTTATAATGTTTTTGAGTCATATTGTTGCATGTGTCAGAAGTTTTTTGTTCCATTTTAGAGCTGAGTAGTACTCCTTGTGTAAATATGGCACAATTTCTAATCCATTCTCTTCTTAATAGACATTTGCATTGTTTCCAATTTTTGGCTACTGTGAATAAATCTGATGTGAACATTTTCCTCCAAGTCTTTTTGTAAACATATGTTTTCATTTCACTTGCATAAATACCTAGAAGTGAAATTTCTGGGTCATAGATACATATTTAACTTTACAAGAAGCTGTTTTCCAAAGTGATCATACCATTTTACATTCTTGCTAGCATTTTATAAGGAGCACTAGTTCTTGATTCTCATCAACAATGTTGTATTGCTAATCTTTAAAACTACTCTAGTAATTGAGCAGCAGTATATCGTTGTGCTTTCAGTTCATGTTTCCTGATGCATGATGATTGTAAGCATCTTGTTCTTGTGCTCATTGGCTGTTGTTTCTCTTTTCTGTGTGTGAAATGTCTGTTTAAGTTACTTGCTTATTTTGATACTTGGGTTGTTTGTTCTTTTGTAGGAATATTTTGTATTTTCTGGATAAGAGTTCTTTCTCAGATACCTGTATCAAAAGTATTTTCTCCCAGGCTGTAGGTTTCCATTTCATTTTCTTGAGAATGTCCTTGAATGAGTAGTTGACAGTAATTTTGATGATGCCTAATTTATCAACATTTTCTTTTATGGTGATTGCTATATGAGGCTTATATAAGAAATTTTTGTCTTCCTCATGATTGCAAAGATTTCCTTCTATGTTTTCTTCTAGAAGGTTTATAATTTTCCCTTTTATATTTACATCTATGACCCACTTCAAATTATTTTTGTGTATGAGGTAGGGGTCATGTTTCAATTTTTGCTCATATGGATATCTAGTTGTTTCAATAAAATTCATTGAAAAAGACTTTACCTATTCAGTTGGCGTGGCATCTTTGCAAAAAAGCTGTTGACGTTGTATGTGAGGGCCTGTTTCTGAACTCATTTTGTTTTATTGGTCTACTTGTCTGTCCTTACTCCATTTCCACACCATCTTAATTACTATAGTTTACTTAATTACTATAGTTTACTTAATTACTATAGTAGAACTTTGTTCTACTTTTTCATATTTTATTTTTAACTACTTTAATTTGCATTTTCACAAACTTTTATAATTTTTCAATTTCCTCAAAAAAGCCTGTTGTCATTTTCATTGTGATTGTATTGAATCTGTAGATCAATTTGCAGAAAATAGAACACTTTTTGATGTGGAACAAAAGACCAAGAAAGGTATTCCTACTGTAGCTTGTTTATGTTTATCTCTCTTGTGGTTTACTGAGTTGCTAGTTTTCATTCTATCTGGAAAAATTTTAGCTATCATATCGTCCAATAACATGTGTGCTCTCTTTTGTTTTTTTTTCAGACTCAACTACATATATTTTAGATTGCTTGATATTGTCCCACAGAACATGTCTTCAATCTTTTTCTCTTTTACTTCAGTTTGCAATAGCTTGTATTGATGTGTTTTCAAATTGTTCTTTCTTTTTTAGTGTCCAATCTGCTGTTAAACCAATCCAATAAATTTTTAATTTCAGAGATTGCATTATTTCTGTGTTTACCTATTGACTTCTTTTTCTACTGCCTACTTTTTTCCATAGTAATTGTAGGGTTTTCCATTTCTTGCCTGTCTAATAATTTTTGATTGTTTCTGGGACATTATATCAATACATTGTAGAGATTTGGGATTTCATTGTTTTCCTCTGAGGAGAATTACATTTTTTTAAAAATCAGGCAGTTAAATTACTGATGGATGACCTTGATCATGAAGAGACTTGATTTTAAGATTATTTTTCGTGTTGGTCTAATTTCTACATTTTTTATTTTAGTCCCAGGGCATATCCGTTCATCCTATGACTTGTTTCTTACTCCTAATGCATGGCCTTCTCTGTTTAGATGGAAGGCTTGAGGTGTTTTTCAAGCTTCTCTAGCTTGATGGGACTTGAACTCTGAAATTCATCTTCTACCTTCGGGGAGCTGGTGAAATTTCTATCCATCTCTTTAGCCCTTTACCATTGCTGTCTGCTGGATTCCTTATTGTCTCACCCTATGCCTGCCCAGTTTTGGCCACAAGAAGGATTTGAGGTATATTATGCGGAAGTTTATCACTCCATCAATTAAAGGATTTCCCCAACTCCAAGTTGCTCTGCCACCCCCAAATTGTGACCTTTGACTCCTTAGACTTGTAAGACACTTCTGCTTGAGCTCTTTCACACCATGAACTTCCCAAACTGGCAAGTGCTCTCAGCGGAATAGACAGTTAAATGACTATCTCAGCTAATAAAGCCTCTCTTTTTCAAGGGTTTATCTTTTCCAGTTTGTGCCTACTTTCCGTTGCTTCCTAGTGGCTTCAAACAGATTTTGCTTTTCATATTTTGTCCCATGCTTCTTTAGTATCTATTCTGGCAGTTGTATTTTGTTGTTACATATTTGTTTTCAACATACACACTTATTGAGAGCAAAGGGTGTGTTTTACTAATCTTTATTTTATCCCACTGTTTGACCCAGAGCAGTTTTTTATACAGCAACTACTTAATAAATGTTAAATTGCATTATTATTTTTATGAAGACCAATTATGAATGAGGATTTAAAGTCTTCTAAAAAATTTGTTATATTTTTAGTATACTACCCTGAGTATGAGTTCAAAGGAAATTTTCTTAGGTGAAATTTTGAAGCATATTATTGCTTTAAAAATTTTTACTTTTAAATTATTTATATTAAAAATGTGTTCACTTATATATTTTAATATTATTTTAATTTTAATTCATTTTAATGTTGACATATAACATGTGGTTTACAAAACTGCTAAAGTTACTGCCTAATATGATTGGATTTTCAATCATTTTATATTAATTTATACAAAAGCAAACCTACTTTTCTGTGTAAAATAGAACAAAAATATCTCTTTTATTTGGAATACTGATAGTTTCTAAATTATCTGTATTATGTGGTTGAAAATATCTTTGAATAATTTTAATTTAAAGGAAGACTTTTAAATTCTATTTTAAATTAGACTTTTCAAGATTAGTCTAATGGACAAAAAAATTGTTCCATCATGTCAGCAATATATTAATATAATTTTTGCAGGGGGTCATCCAATTTTCTTTTATTATCAACTTCAATATTCTCAATTTGTAGGGAAGTGACCATAGCCCTAATCTTAATAAATTAACCAATTTTTAGGTGTAATTTATAGTCATTAACATTATTTATTACTAACTACACTTTGATTTCATAGCTTAGGGTATACTTGAATGGAAAGAATTATTATAAACTGGTTTCGTTTAAATGGAATTTTTAGTTTGTATATAAATTCGATATTTATTGCAGGTCTCATGATCATGCAAACCTGGTTATGTCAGTTTCAAGAACAGGTTATATTATTTGTACAATTACAAACCATAGTTGTATGTGTCCATCTTTATAAGTTTGCCTTTTTGATTACTTGAAATAAGTGCATTGTTGAATTAAGCTAAATAACCTCCTTTTTTCTCCTTTCTTCTTCAGAATCAAGTTTCTTACTGGGAAATGCCCAGATTGTGGATTGGCCTGTAGTTTATAGTAATGACGGTTTTTGTAAACTCTCTGGATATCATCGAGCTGACGTCATGCAGAAAAGCAGCACTTGCAGGTAGGTAACAGAATAGCTAAGTAATCTTTTCTGAAATTTAACAAAAATCTGAATGTAATTAAAAGGCTTAAGCTTACTTGGACTCCCATATACAAACCATAGAGTTAAAAATTATGTTAGAATATTAGGGAGACTAAATTATCAATGGAAACACATAGCTTAAGAGCCACTGGTGAGAACTTTTGCCAAAAGAAAGATTTGTATATATCTGTGAGTTAATCAATTCATTCAATAAATATTTTTTGATGACCTACCATGAGCCAGGAATAGTCTAGATGCTGAGTAATCAGAGGAACGTCTTGTATCAGGGAACAACTTGTGGCATGTGATCTACAGCACCTCTGGAACAACTAAATTGTCTTGAATAAAACAGAGTAAACACCACCTGGCCAAGTTAAACATGGTCCATGAGAATGTAAAGAACATAAAATAAAGCTCTTATATCCTGTGTAAGCCACATGTACTTGGTAATGGTACATTGTTTGACTCATGTACAACAGAATCTGACATTTATATTATTATAATGGTTCTTTAAACAAATATGCCATTTCTGTGAGCTTAAAGAGAATATTAAGAAAAAAGGGGATCAGAAAAAAGAAAAGGAAACTATATATAAGGAACTAATTTAGAACCTAAAACTTTTCACAATATTTCAGTAAGGCCAGATGGGATGTTTTTTCCGTGAGTTAATTTTTCTTTAAAGCTCTCATTTAACTAAGCACTGAACCAAGTTATTTTAGAACTACAAGGAATCTGATTTTTTTTTTTTCTAGGCCAAATCCTCTGTTTTTCAGATGAGAAAACTGAGGTAGAGCTATGTTAAGGGACTTGCCCAGAGAAATAGTGATTTGTTTTTTCTACCCATTGATGCTGAGAAGCATTATATATATACATATATATATGTATATATAAAATGGTTAAATGCATATACAGTTGACCCTGGAACAACACTGGTTTGAACAGTGTGGGTCACTTATAGGTTAATTTTTTCAACCAAATGTGATCAGAAATATAGTATTAGAGAAATACAGATCAAAAATATGATATTCAAGGGGATATGAAACCCTTGGGTACAGAGGGCTGACTTTTTATATATGTGGGTTCCACAGGGCGTTATAACTGCAGGACTTGAGTGTGCACGGATTTTGATATACGCAGGGATCCTGGAACCAATCCCCTGTGTATGACTCTCTCCCTCTCTATGTATATAACTGTTTATATATCTGTGAATTAATCAATTCATTCAATAAATATTTTTTGATCACCTACCATCTACCATGAGCCAAGAATAATCTAGGTACTGAGTAATCAGAGGAACATGTATATCTGTATATATACGTACATACAGAGAGAGAAAGGCAGAGAGAGAGAGTCATCCATGTTATACAGAAGGGATTGGTTGATAACTCTCTCTTTCCCTCTCTAGATATCCTTCATCATCATGAAATGTAGATATTTTATATTATACCATTGAGTTTAAACCTGACTGCACATAGCAATCACTTAAATAGGTTTTGCAAAACAGATTCCTACCCCGCTTAAACCTACTGAATTAGAATCAGTAGGTGATTCTGAAGTGGGTGGGTCAAGCAGGGAGTCAGTATTTTTAACCAACAGCTTAGATGATTCTGGTGCCTATCCAGGCTTGAGAAATAATCTGCTCAAACATTCTCTTCCTTAATCTATGCTCCTCTAGCCATCCTCATTTTTGCCTCTACTGAAGGCATTCTCATATTCATTCTTCATTCCTAGGTATGGAAATTGGTAAATGGGAGTGATGAAAATCTGTGGCTTCTGGTTGAGAGGGTCCCTTTGCTAGCACTGATATCGTTGGGCCATATTAAGCATTGCTCCTCTCCTATCCCCCAGAAGGCAGTTTAAGTTAGAAAAAGCTGAGTTTCATGGTAGACGTTATCCTGTGGAACAGGTCCATAGAGAGTTCCAGGCAACACAGATATACTCACACTCGCATTTCTTATTCTTGGACTGCTGACATCCCGTCTTCATGCCAGGTTTATCTCAGATCTCATCTACCTGAAGGTATTTATGCTTCCCTAAGCAAGACAGGTTTTTCCCTTCTCTGACTCCTCATAGTTTCTTGTGTATATTTCTGTTGGCATCATCATTTGGCCTTAAACTAACTTGCCTTATCCCTTGGGTTTTTATTCTTATTGCTTTATTGCTTTTGTTGCCATTTTTGAGAAGTATTACTCTTCATATCTGGATCTATTTTCAGTCCTGCTCTCATCCCTTCTTGTGTCCCATGTATTTGCCCTATCCCTGGCCTATTTTCTTTGGCAAGTACAATTTTTCCTATAAAGGATTCACTAAGAAAATAAGTGCTGGTGTGTTATATTAGCTCTTTGCTCCTATGAAAGAGCTGCTTTTCTTCTAACACAAGTACCAGATTGTAAGTGCCTTAAAAGTAGGGTCTCCATCTTGCTCACTTTTGTATGCACAACAGGACACAAGACAGTGTCTTATGTCAGTATTTATTGAATTGGATTGGCTTGTTTTGCAATAAACCGTAACCTAGGTCTCACATGCTCTGGATAGCATACTGTTATTTCTTGTATTTCATCCTGTGTTATGACATTTGAGGTGGGAGAGTTTTGGATTATACCATGCTTTTTAACTGTATAAAAAAGTGTTTGAGTCTTTCCCCAAATTGTCTTTACTTATCAGAGACAGTGTTTTCAAATGATCATGTTCTTAATGTAAACAATTATTACTTACTTGCATAAAATGCCAGATGTGTTTTGTTAACCTAAAAATTGCAACCAGTTTAATGCCCTCACAGAACAATGAAGACTAGCATCTGATATATGAACAAATATCTGACCTTTATCAGTTTTTCTTGGAAGCATGATTTATTTTAATGTGTTCTTCTTTTAAACTTCCTTATTCTCTTTTAAAATTAAACTATATCCATTTTATGTTTGCTGTAGCATTATTTAGAAGACTGAAGACCTGGAAGGAATCAAAATATCCAGTAGTAGAAGTTTAGCTACATCATATGTTGTATATACTGGAAGGATAATGACACTGGAAAAAACTAACAACATATTATCAAGTAAAAAAAAGCCTAAAATGAAATAAAACAACAAACCCAAAAGCACCCCCCAAGCAGTTTATAAAACAGTGTTTGCATCATGACTCAAATTCTTTTACATATCGCTTTTTTCCCATTTCTTGAATAAATCCAGAAAAGCCTTTAAGTGTGAGACACAAAATAACAGAGAGAGAAAAAAAGAAAATGAGGTGCACATTTAGAAACACGGGGTTGATGGCTAAAAGTTATTATAGTGTGTGGAATTACTGACTTATAAGTGAATATGGAGATAAGTATTTGACACTGAGAATATCCTTGTAAATAATTTAAAAATTTTGCTTATCATTATAAGTTTTTAGACAGACATAAGAGAATAAGAAGCTACAAAGCAGTGAGCTTCATTTTATATGGGAAAATACAAGCTTTGACACTATATATCTCAGAAAAAAGAATCATTTTTGTATCCAACTTGCATTAGATGAATTAAAGTCTATAGGGTTAAAGTGGCAACTAGGTAAATGATTACATGCCACAGTTTTGAATGTTCAAAAGTGAATTGTTTTATGGTAAAATAAAAACACATTAATTTGTGTTTTTATAATATCAAGAGGCTAATATTTCTTTCTTCTGTTTTCTTATCTTTTTTCTTCTTTGTCCTTCTCAACCCCTCCCACATTGGACCAGACACACAGAATCAAATTAAACATACTCCTCAGTTTGTCACAATATTGTCATTTTGCTCTCTCTAAGCAAGGTCTCTCTTTATTTTATTTTATTTTTTTCCTTTTATTTCTTTTCCCTTTCATCCCATCCCCCTTGTTCCTCTTATGGTTATTAATTCTAAAGTGTGTTTATTGTATGTCTTTCTAATCTGTCTTCTGCTTGTTAATTAAATATGTGTATTCTTGAAATGATATTGCTTTGCATATGTTGGTTGTTAAGATCTATTTAATTCCTACCACACTGTAATATTTATGGTTTCTTACTCTTTTCATTCACCATTATGTTTTTAGACTTCTTTGTGTCACCGTATGATGATCTATTCATCATGTCTGATTGTTGTCTAATGTTGTAGTGTCTTCACAGCCTTCGTTCTATTTATACATTCTAGTAGTCCTGGAATCTAACTTTGACACTTTGCTACCTCAAACAACTTGGAAATAAGAATCGTCCTACACATCTTCTTGTGGCCCTGTGTGAGACGTTTTCTGTCTCTATCCCCAGAAATGGGATTGCTGGATAATAGAATATATGCAGAGTTTGTAAATTAACTGCTATAAGACTGTTACAGAGTAGCCTTCTGTTTCCATTCTCAGCAGCCATTAGTGAGGATTCTGGTTTTCCTACATTTTTGCTATGTCATAATGGTACTGAAATTCCTATCTGAAAATATCTGATGTGTGCTAGGTATTGTCTCATTTTTGTTTTAGGTAAAATTATGACACTATGACACTTTCGGATCCCTAGGAATTTCAAATGTTGTCCATTTTACTGTGGACACTGCATTTTCCACGCCTTTGCACTGTTTTGCTGTTTATTGGAGGACATGAAAAGTATCGCATGTTTAAAAGAGGTTATAGACTTTGGGAGAATGACATTTAAAAGCATATGATCTTATCTCATGACCTGTAGAAGCTCTGACATTTGGGATATACTGTCATAGATTAGGTAGGAACCACTTTAGCATTTTACTTCTAATTAACCTGAAACTTTTAAGAGCCTATTCTGCTGTCATTTTTTGTTTTTGTTTTGGATAGAGGGGTGAGAAGAACAATCAGGTAGTTTAGGTAGGGTGGATTGAGGGGTAGATAGATGCTCTCAGATACATTTTTTTGAAAGACCATTTACAATCCCTTATCCAACCCCATCAAGTTAGACAATGAGTCAGAGCTATTAAGAAACAGTTTATTGGGCAGATTTCACAGCAGTTTTATGAACACAGGATTATCTCAGCAGCTACCAAGAGCATGTGACACATGATGGATGCCAGTCAGTCCGGCTCCATTTGGCTGAGGGCTGTGCTTCTCATGGTGAGACTGATGAAAAGTGTTGAAGGGCAGAGGTGTCTTGGTGATGTCAGACTCCGAAGATTACAGGTATACAGTGCTATCCCTGTTTTTCCTTAATTACATGTCATGGATCAACCATTTATTTACTCCAGTGAAATCCTTTGAAGACCATGTAAATCAATGGGTTGTGAAACCTTTTGGTTATGATCCTCTGTATAAAGGAATGTCTTTGATTTATTCCAAAATTACCTCTTTCAGATTTTGAAAACTGTATTTCTTTTTTTTTTTTTTGAGACAGACTTTCTCTCTTTTTGCCCAGGCTGGACTACAAAGGCATGATCTTGGCTCACTGCAACCTCTGCCTCCTGGGTTCAAGTGATTCTTTTGCCTCAGCCTCCCAAGTCGATGGGGTTACATGCACCCGCCACCATGCCTAGCTAATTTTGTATTTTTAGTGTAGATGGGGTTTCAGCTGGCCAGGCTGGTCTCGAACTCCTGACTTAAGGTGATCTGCCCGCCTCAGCCTCTCAAAGTGCTGGGATTACAGGCGTGAGCCACTGTGCCGGGCCGAAAACTGTATTCTTGTTTTTAATTTTTCCTCCTTAACTTCCCCTCTCTCAGGCTTTATCTTTTTTGATCCTTCGACTGTAGATCTCAGTCCACCTCCCATTAACCTTTATGATTCTATGGTTGTGGCCACTTCTGAGCTGGAGACCACATTTACCAACTGCGTTAAGTCTATCTGTGTTGCTTTGTTTTGACGAAGGATTTGCTAATCTATGAACTACAGCCTGCAGATAATATTACCCTGTATTATGGTGACTGAATGTTTGTTGCATTTTAGTCTAGACACACCGTTGCACATTTAGCAGAGTAAGAGAGGTTGGTGGAACTCATGAATAGGTTATGTTTTCTTCAGAGTTGTAAGATTCTTTTCTCCTTTGGAAGTCTGTCAATCGTTATAGCCATTCTTACGCTAGGTACTATAATGAGGCTTGTTCGTGAGATTTTGAGAGCAGAGCAAGGGATCCAAGAATAAATAAATCCTGCTACAAGCCCAAACCACCTGTTCCTCAAAGTTTTCTAGGTCAGACACACATGAACGATAACTGCCAGATGCCTAGGCGAGCTGGGTATGGCCTAGACCAGGCCTGAAGACAACTTATCCCTTATTCCCAAGATGAAACCAGTCAGTTGTGTGACAAGAAAAGTGGCCAGATTATACAGGAGCAGGTTCTGAGTGAGCGTTTGCTTCAACCTCATGGGCTTGTGAAGAAAGAAGATTCACAGAACCATGCACATCTCCCTTTAAGACACAGTGACACACTGCCTTTTGGAAAGCATGGTTCCTGGAGAATCCTGGAGAAGCTAGGGAGTGAGGCTGGGGTGGGGAAGGGGCATTCTAGTCCCATCCGTACATTCCAGTCATATTTCAGCCATTGTGTAACACGTTATAATTTGTAACTTTATTTGCATTATCCTTTTGTCACCCTTTGAGTTATATTATTATTGTCCTTATTTTACTGATGAAACTATGGGTCAGAGAGGATATACGACTTGTCCATAAATTATCCACTTTGTAAGTGGTCCTCCAAATGCAAAAGTCCTCTGTTATACCATGACTGCCCAATATTATAACAGAGATAGATTGCTTCTGTGAATCCAATTCTATTTTCCTTTCAATAAAGTAACAGTGCAGTAGTTCATTTATAATTACCAAGGAGGAGCTTGGCATCCTATGTAAGAGAGCAAGTGGAAGTTTTGTGATTTTAAAAATATTTCCGTTACATATTCCTTGAGGATATTTGGTAGAAGATATGAAAACTATGGAAAATTATTATATATGGTTTCTAAAGCCCGTTGATTACTATTTCTATAATTTGTGACCCCTCAAATTGATTAACCATTCAAAGACTGCATTGAGCTTCAGTCATCCTGAGTCAGGCTTCAGGAACCTGTGATAAAACATTTCAGCATTCATATGTGACAAAGCCAAGCAAATAAACAAATGTGCCATACCCACAGAGAATGCGGGAATCATTGATTTATCAGTATGGCTTGGACAACTTTGGCTGAAAATACTTTCAGAGATTGAATTAACCTCCAGAACACTTGCCTTGGGAGGATAGATAGATAGTACATTTCTGACATTCTTTATAGTCTGTTTTGAAATACCTCTTATTATTTAACTGCTACATGTCACCCCTTCAAATACATGTTCTATCACTGGAAATATGCGGTATAATAAATGAAAAATCTGAGTGGAACAATGTAAGAAATGAAAGACTATTTTAAAAACCGCATTCGGATTTTAATAATATAGGATTATTTTTCTTAAGTGCCTTTATTTTCCTAGGATAAGTGATTTTAGCATTGGAAGGACTAACTAATGGAGGTGTATTATGAAATTTTTATGGTTTATTTAAAAATTGCTTGTTTGTTTTTATCTTCTCTTCAGAAGTTGAGCTGCATCAGACCTGTGTTGCATTTTTTCTTCGTTGGTGTTATTAAACCAATCCCTCAAAGAGCTTCTTTTTTAAATTTGAGTTGTAACTTACTTTTAAATCTTATTGGAGTTAATTTTTGATAATTTTTATCCTAGTTGCTTGTTATATCATAAATTCTTTCTTATTTTGTTTTTCTGTTGACCAATTGCGAATATTATGTTTCAGTTTATTGAACCACAGACACCTGTCATTTAGTAGCAGTGTGAAATGGTTTTTCTTTCTTTCTTTTAAGACTACAAATATTTACTTAGTTTAATTGCCCTTATCTTGAATTTTAAAATGTTTCTGCTTTATTAAGATTCTTTAATTAAAAATAAAAGTTAGTAAAAAAAGATTTAAAAATTTCACTTGTCTATAAAAATATTATGTACAATATTAAGCTAATATTTTTTTGGGAGAGAAGTGGCTTTATGTTCTTTAGCTGAATAATTCTAATTTAATTGTAATGCCTTCAAGCAATTTTTATGAAACTCTCATGAGCTGAAATTTCAGCTTTGACAGTAACAGTGGCTTTTCAGTGCCAGCTTGCAGGTGTGCTTTGAGGTTTCCTGTGTTAGTCTAGATATAAGATTATGGAATTAAGAGTCTGTCATTTTATTCTGAGATCCTTTTACTTATTTTATTATTTTAATGACAATTAAAATTTTCCTTTTTAAATTAAATATATTAAAAATGAAGGATTCAGGTTTCTCGGTGCTTGGACAATCTTTGATCTGCCTTACCCACTTTCATTTCTGACTTTCTAGAATTCTAGTTGCTTAGGTTGGTGTTATAGAAGGTGGGCTTGAGTTACCCTGTAATTTCTGGTTGTAATGTGGTGCTGCTATTGGATCCTGTGTGTCATTACTGGATCTTGCTGAAAAACTATGCCTTTTAGGTTGTAAATTTTATTGATTGGTATTTTCAGGTGCAGATTTTCTGTGAGCCTATAATGAAGCTGAACCTTCAGGGGCCCTCATTTGAGTGGATGTCTTTCGAGGCTCTGTTTGTAATCTTGTTTTATAATTTTGTATTCTTTTTCTTAAGGAGGGCTTCACAAATTGTATAAGCTTCAGCCTCCACCACACTTTGGATCTGCCTCTAGTAAATATGTGAACTCTTTGAAAACTGAAAGAAAAGCAATAACAAAGACAGACTTTTGATCTTTCAAAATCTTAGTTAAGGTGTTTAGTAATGCCACATTTTCTTTCCTGGTGGAAGAAATGGTCTGGACAATCATACCGATCAGCAGAACTGTGTATCTAAAACCAGATGTACAACTGATGATTTGAAAGCATTGAGAATGGAGTTTTAGAGACATGTAGTTCTTGGGCAAGTTTTGTTATTTAGATGATCAGACTTTTGCCAAGGTTCTCTTAGAAAAATAGAGAATGTCAAACATTAGAAAGTTTTTGTGGAATATGGACATTCACTCCTTAATCTATGTTTTGTATGTTCCTCTAACCACTGTAATAATGTATGATTCCTTCAAGATGCCATCTTTACTTCCCTTCCATTAGCCACACTTGTACCTATCTTAAGAAAATTCCCTGAAATGATGAGAATGTCAATGCATTATATGTATCATATGCAATCCTCACTTTTTTAATGATAGTATGGGAACATAAGGTCCATGCAAGCTGAAACCACATAATACTATCTTAATACTCAATAAAAATTATGATGGTTTTAGCATCTTTAAAAATGTTTGTCAAAACAATAAAAACTCTCTTACTGTTGGTTATCAATGCAGGGAGATGATATCATAGTAAAACTCATATTTATTTAGTGTACTGTGATTTTGAACATTAGAAACGTTGAGAATGGAGGAAGTGTTTTATTTCTTCTTAAAAAACTTATGAGTCATTTAAACAATTCTTTGGCTTTTCAGAATGTAACTTTCTGTATAAAGAGAGCATCTTTTCTATCTTCTCGAAAATTGTCATCCTCCTTTCTAAGTTAGAATTAATTTCAAATATTTTATTCTTCCACTTTCACTATTGTGATCAATGTACTAGAGCTCCTTTAATAAGGAGGGTTTTTTTGGTTTGTTTTTAAACTGGTGTCACCTCCTCTGGGAAACCTTCATCCTTTTTGTCACAACCACTTTCTTCATTTATATGGATGAGCTCACCTTCACTAAGTCCTTTTGGATGCATATTTAGAGTCTCCCAAATGGCAGTAGTATTGACATTTCCATGGTCACCTATTTCTCTTATAACTTCATTTATGTTCAATTTGAATTCCACTTCCAACATTATTATTTTTCATTTCTTTGGTGGACTTTAGTTTTTGTTGGCTACTTACTGCTTTTGATTATCCATTTTTGTAAAATGTCATATGGGTTTATCACTGAGAGAAAAGGAGGCAATATGACTACATGCTTTTCTGTCTGTGCGTGAACTGAGTAACAGCCGTGCTGTTTCCAATACTGACAGGCTTTGAAAGAAGTGATGTGATCAGTGACTGGTTGTGAAGGTGCATCTGTTATTTTCCAGTGATTTGTAGACTGAAGATCAAGTGGCAAAGCTTGCACTTTGTGCAATTACTCACAGTTAACATACTGTGGAAACTGAAATTTGAACTGTGCTGTGGAACTGGTGTTATTTAACTAAACCACAGTGACTGAAATCTGTGCATACAGGAACTGTGTAAAGCAAGAACTGCCTCTCATGATTTGACTATTCTGTGTAGGAGCAATATTATATTTTCTAGCCACATTTGACTAGTCAAAGACAATTATATGATTTTTGTAGCATTTGAAAGGCAACACAAAAGTGAAATCGATTGTTTGTTTTTTTTCCCCCCCAGTTTTATGTATGGGGAATTGACTGACAAGAAGACCATTGAGAAAGTCAGGCAAACTTTTGACAACTACGAATCAAACTGCTTTGAAGTTCTTCTGTACAAGAAAAACAGTAGGTATCTCAATTATTAATAAGATGTGCCAACTCTTTATTAATATTATGTTTGGTAAGTCGTAGTGGAGCTAAAATGTAGAGAGCATGTAAACCTTCTGTTGCTTCTTTTCTTGGCAGGGGCAGAGGTTGCTGGTGAAATTAGATAATAAAATTAATAAATAATTCTACCTATGGAAAGTAACCTTTTGAGGAATGGAAGAAAAATGTGATGCATCTTAATATGACTTTTGTATCAGGCAGCAAAATATTTTGTAATTAATACTTATAATAAAGATCCTATAATTATGTGACAACGATTAAAATTGACAGATACATGTATTAATTTCTTCTTATGGTTAAAGAAAACGGTAATTGTTAACACTGGATATATGCAATTACCTTTCGACACGAACATAGGCAATGTGAATATGTGGTAGCTACTTGAGGGGAATCTCTACCAATATGGCCTTTTGCCAGCCTCAGACTCTTTTGTGAGAAAGCCTAGTAGAAGTAGTCGTTGTTCTCAGAACAAGTCATTCACGTTTGGTAAATTTGTGTTGATTGTTGTGACCTTTCTCTGGGATGAGATTTGTATGTGGTAAGGTATGCATTATATAATGACATAATATCTGGTGATATAGACTTTCCATCAGAGTTTGGAGGGAAAAAAACCAACATGACAAAAACCAACAGTATACTCAACAACTCCCCTTTCTAATTCACTTTATTTGCATGGTTACTTACATTTATCTTTTTGCTGTTTCCTCAAATTGTTCTTGCTTTCTTTTTTGAAATGAACAGTCACTTCATAAGATGAGTCAATTTATTTATTGTTAATAGCAAATGATAGCAAAGTCTACTATTATCTTTGATGGAAATTGATGGTTACTAAATTCTTCCCAAGTTTGGAAAACATTCTCGCTTCAACAGGAAACGCCTGTTCCATGTTCAGTGCCTGTTGGATCTTGTGGAGCATAATTTATCCTCTCCATTTACTTGAAACATTTTTTATCTGTGGAATATTTGGAATTAAAATTCGATTTCTCTTTTTATTAGTAGACTAACAAAGGAATAACAGCGTGAGACATTGCCTCAAAGTAGTGCACTTGATAATGGAAACATTTGTTTTTAGTAATTTTACTTAAGGAATGGCTTATCTTATTTTTCATTTTACATCAAGCCCAAAGAGAATTTCAGTTTGAAGTCATAGCTAAATGTCAGCTAGCTTGTCACCTAGAAAACAATCCCTTCTGAATGGTCAGCTCTGTCCTCTGCAAGAGAAAAGGCAGACTGTAGGTGCTTTCTGGGTCTTTTTTTGCCAAGTCTAAGTACATATTGATAATTTGTAGGAGACCTGTATACCAAAAAATCCTTCATTTTCCTATGGTTTGTTAAGCCTTCAATAATTTAGATATGTGCTCCAAGTTTAGCAAATAATTTAAGAATATTCTATATAACTAAGGTCATTCACTCTCTGACATTTAAGCAAAATAAACAAACATTTGCCTGACTTTAAAGCCCCAAAGACAAGTCCATAGTTCCTGAGTTTCTCAAAAAATATGTAGGTGAAGCCTAGGTGACATAGCAAGACCCTGCCTCTATGAAAAAAAAAATAGCTGGGCATGGAGGCACATGCCTATAGTCCCAGCTACTCAGGAGGCTGAGGCAGGTGGATGGCTTGAGCCCAGGAGTTCGAGGCTGCAGTGAGCTATGATCATGCTACTGTATTCCAGCCTGGGTGACAGAGCAAGACCCTGTAATGACAACCACCACAACAAAATATCTTAGTGGAATTTCTGTTTATTTACTTTAAATCATCTTAGTAATTACTTGAATTTTACATTTCCAGAAGTCTTTCCAAGGTAGTTTAGTTATTTTGCCTTATGTTAATGGATTGAAATTATTATCTGATCATTGTTCAGGCCTATCTGGTTCTTTCCAGATAACTCTCTATGCAGATAAGTGCCTGCTTATAGCCAATGGGATATATACCCCATAGCATTGTAAGTTAAAACTTGTGCCTCCTTTCTGTGCACTATCTACATTGAGTTTTGCTTTTGTTTTCCTCTTTAGTGAAGGATAGGTGTTATCCATGTATTATAATGGAGTTTTGCTATTTAAATGCAGCTTTTAAAAAGTCTTGTAAATAGCTGAAAGGTTTTGAACATCAGCTGAGAAAAGCATATTTTTGTGATTTAAAAAAAGTGTTAGGTAGAAAAATTCACATCTGCAGAAAACTGTTTTGGGAATGCCTATGTGCCAAGTTCTCCCAATACGTCCTTTAAGCAATTAAGTTAAACACCATTTTGCAAATGGGGGAATTGCGGCATCTGATTGAATATGCATCACCATTGAAATTTTAGTTTGCAGCCTCTGTTCTGTAGGTCCAGTGCTCTGATTAGCAGGGGGCTGTTTCTACTGTGGGGAAAGAAATGGTAGCTCTGAGCTTAAGATAGCTCTTTCTGGCCGGGCGCGGTGGCTGACACCTGTAATCTCAGCACTTTGGAAGGCCGAGGCGGGCGGATCACGAGGTCAGGAAATCGAGACCATCCTGGTTAACACGGTGAAACCCCGTCTCTACTAAAAATACAAAAAATTAGCCGGGCGTGGTGGCAGGCGCCTTGTAGTCCCAGCTACTCAGGAGTCTGAGGCAGGAGAATGGCATGAACCCAGGAGGTGGAGCTCGCAGTGAGCCGAGATAGTGCCACTGCAGTTGGGCCTGGACGAAAGAGTGAGACTCCGTCTCAAAAAAAAAAAAATATATATATATATATAAATATAAATATATAAATATATATATTATGTATATAAATATAAATATATATAATATATACTATATATAATATATAATATATATAAAATATATAAAATATATATAAAATATATATATAATATATATAAAATATATATAATATATATAAAATATATATATAATATATATATATGGCTCTTTCTGTGTACTCAAATGCAGAACTGATAGCCGAGGCTCCTCCAAGTCATCAATGCTGGAGCACTGCACCGAGATTCAGCCACAGCAGGTTCCTCTACTTAACCCTCCCAGACTCCCCAGCCCCCTGAACCCCAAATCCAGAATATGAAGGATCTATCACCACATACTTGGCAGATACTCAGCCTACTTGGGGAAATATGACCCTGTGGCTTGGAAAGTTGAAAAACAATTACCTTCATATCTAAAGCAGTTTTAAAGAGAGCCCAGACTCTGTGCCAGAATTTGAAAAGTTGCGGTTTTCACAGCAAGGCATGAAATCTAACATCATCTCTTTCTGTTCAGATTTCTAACAGACCTTGGAAAATTACTTATTTTTTTAGTGCCCTTTTCTCTTTGTTTATGACCCTTCTGCCTCAAGCTTACTGTGTTGGAATAGCTACAGGCCATGTATCCACTAACGTCTGGGTCTGGTGATTTGTAAAACCGTGCACATCACTCACAGTTCCTGGTCACGCTGTGTAAAATACGAAAACAGAAAAAAATGAACAAGCCTCTCGGGGAGATGATGTGATTATTTTTGAGGTCCCTGTCTCATTCTACCATCATTTTGGAAAGGGCCACGTCCTTCCATAGGCCCCCTGGGGTTGCAGAAAACCTGATTGTCACAGCTGAATAGTCCCATAGAAATCTCCTTTCTCTAATTCTCTGACTTCTTGAGCCTGGTAGTTATCTCATCCTGTCTAAATGAAAAATTCCCCTTTGTGGTGACATTAGGTGACTTTTTTATTTTTTATTTTTTTAGGCCATGGGAATAGAAGTGCTTCTTATTCGGTTCTTAATGGAAGCTAGTAAAAGGCTAGGGTCTTACCTACAGACTATTAATACCTGCACGTTTCACTCCCCAAATCCTAAACCTTACAAAAACCTTTATGTCTTAAAATAGAATATTTGGAGGGGCTTTACTGCACTGTGGCATGAAGAGAATATAATGAGAAAAGTGTCTCTTTGATTGTAATGTAAATGTGTCTCTTTGATTGTAATGGAATCTTCCCTTCAGTGTTTTATCACCTAACAGATAATTACACCTTTGAAGGCATTTCTTGTGCCTTCACATATTTCTATTTGTTATATACCAGTTCCTGACTTATCCAAATGATAAGCCTTGAATACTTTGATACCCTCTGTCCTAGAGGGCAGAGTCTGCAGTAGCCATCCTTCGAAGAACGAGGTGATAGAGTCCAGCTTCATGCTGTTTAAGTGAGGGAGGTAGGCAGCAGTGGCTCAAAAAGATGCCTGGGGATCTCAAAAGCTGGGGACACGTCTATTTTTCTTCAGGCTGCCTTAACAGTTTCAGGTAGAGCTCTGTGTACATCGGACATCAAGTTTTGCTGACATCCTCTCTCTCTGATGTGGGGATGCTGTCAAAGCCATAGAGCTATCATATAAGTCTATCTGACTGATGAGAGAGCCTTGGGATAGAAACAGTATTTTAGATGTTCCTCCAAGAGGAATGCTTATTAGAAGATCAGGTATGGCTGTTGCAGTTAATTGGAAACACTTGTCAAAGTGACATGACGAGAGAAGCAGGTAGGAGTGATCACAATTGGTAAGACTCTCAGAAGAAAGTTGGTGAGAGCAGCAGTGGTTGAGGGACCCAGACCTACAGGTGTTGCTGGGATTGCTTAAGTAGCAAGACTGCCTTTGTGTTCCTGCATTGTGAAATGACAGCCTGTGCTTTACTTTAGAATTTTGATATTTTGGCGTGTATACTGTGTTTATTAAATTTGAACAACTGGTAGTTGATACAAAATTAAAGGTTTACGGATTGTTTGTAGTAATTAATATACTGTTGTTTTGGTGTTGATTCCTGGCACAGCTGTTGGCAGCTGAAGGAAGAAGGAAGCCAGGAGACCAAACCACTGCTGTGGCCGTGCCACACTCTAATGTCCTTTCCCCAACTTCTTTCTGTTACAGGAACCCCTGTTTGGTTTTATATGCAAATTGCACCAATAAGAAATGAACATGAAAAGGTGGTCTTGTTCCTGTGTACTTTCAAGGATATTACGTTGTTCAAACAGCCAATAGAGGATGATTCAACAAAAGGTAATTTTCAAAAGAATTACTACACTGAAAAATTAGGCTGTTGCTAAAAGATCTTCTTACTGTTTTACCTCTGCTGATTGAACTGGAAAACAAAATTCTACTATGTGGCCTTTCTTTTGCTTCATTGCTTGGAATCTGTTTTATTCAATCATACTGTTGGAATAGAAATGGCATGTCTATCCAAAGTTGAAATATAGATTGGTTAACTTATAGCATGAGTAAGAAATTTTATAGAGCATTTTTTTTGTTTGTCTTTTAGTCAAGGTCTCACTCTGTTGCTTGGGCTGGAGTGTAGTGGTGTCATTTCAGCTCACTGAAATTTCCATCTCCCAGTCTCAAGTGGTCCCCCCACCTCAGCCTCCTGAGTAGCTGGGACTATAGGTGTGCGCCACCATACCTGGCTAATTTTTCTATTTTTTATAGAGTCAGGGTTTCGCCATGTTGCCCAGGCTGGTTTCAAACACTTGGGCTCAAGTTATCTGACCCCCCTTGGCCTCCCAAAGTGCTGGGATTACAGACGTGGGCCATACACCTGGCTGAGCATTGTTAATTTTGAATCAATATGATTGGAATTTCAACACCTCATACCATGGTGAGCTTTAGAGCCAAAACGTAACAATTGGTGGAATGGTTTGGGTGAAATCTAACTAGAGCTCAGTTGGTTAGTTGATTGAATTTTGTTGAATTACAATTGTAATAGTTGACTTTTTCAAGTTACTTTTCAGTTTTTATTTATTCTGTTGTGTAGTCCCTAGAGTAGATGTTGCTAGATTATGGAAAGAATAATTTTGTCTTCAGGAGAGTGACTGGCAAAATGCAAACCTTCTGACTGTAGTCTTATTGACTATAATAGTCAAAGAGACTGCTATAGAAACCACTAGTCAGTGGCATGTGCTTTTACCTCCTTTTCTATGTAATTTATTCCCAATTTATTCTCTCCAATTATGTTTAAATTAGAAACTGGTGTCATATAAATGAAGTATTTCAAATAACCTTAGAAGTAGTTTTTATGAAATGTTATTTTTAATAATCTCTTAGGAAACTAAAAATAAAATGTCTTCCTCTTTGCATTTGACAAACATCGCCTTTCCTTACTTCTTTTTAAAAAACTGGCATAGAAACTTTAATCTTTCCAACTGTAATCATAATTATAGAAAAAATCACAGTAAGTTTATTCCTTGCATAGGAACTCACATATATAATATTGTATCTGCTCAGTTTCTGGTTAACATCAAATAGCGAGAGGATAATTTTTACAGTGTGCAAACCATTCAAAGTATGACAGCAATTTATTTGTGCTTTGAAGATCGAATAAAGTATTCAATTTGGACCCATATTCCCTGTTCCTTTACACATAGACTCAGTGCCTGGGAAATTTAAGATAACTATAAATACTACTTTTAAATTGAACAGTCTTCTAATAATATTTAGGGTTTTTTTTTTCTTTTCCCTTTTTTTTTTATTATTATTATACTTTAAGTTTTAGGGTACATGTGCACAATGTGCAGGTTAGTTACATATGTATACATGTGCCATTCTGGTGTGCTGCACCCATTAACTCGTCATTTAGCATTAGGTATATCTCCTAATGCTATCCCTCCCCCCTCCCCCCACCCCACAACAGTCCCCAGAGTGTGATGTTCCCCTTCCTGTGTCCATGTGTTCTCATTGTTCAATTCCCATCTATGAGTGAGAACATGCGGTGTTTGGTTTTTTGTCCTTGCGATAGTTTACTGAGAATGATGATTTCCAATTTCACCTATGTCCCTACAAAGGACATAAACTCATCATTTTTTATGGCTGCATAGTATTCCATGGTGTGTATGTGCCACATTCTCTTAATCCAGTCTATCATTGTTGGGCATTTGGGTTGGTTCCAAGTCTTTGCTATTGTGAATAGTCCAGAATCTACAATGAACTCAAACAAATTTACAAGAAAAAAACAAACAACCCCATCAAAAAGTGGGCGAAGGATATGAACAGACACTTCTCAAAAGAAGACATTTATGCAGCCAAAAGACACATGAAAACATGCTCATCATCATTGGCCATCAGAGAAATGCAAATCAAAACCACAATGAGATACCATCTCGCACCAGTTAGAATGGCAATCATTAAAAAGTCAGGAAACAACAGGTGCTGGAGAGGATGTGGAGAAATAGGAACACTTTTACACTGTTGGTGGGACTGTAAACTAGTTCAACCATTGTGGAAGTCAGTGTGGCGATTCCTCCGGGATCTAGAACTAGAAATACCATTTGACCCAGCCATCCCATTACAGGGTATATACCCAAAGGACTATAAATCATGCTGCTGTAAAGACACATGCACACGTATGTTTATTGCAGCAATATTTAGGTTTAATGCTCATTTGCTTGTTTTAAAATTCATGGTGCTCCATCCAACAGCCAGAGAATACATATTCTTCACCTCACAAGGAGTGGAGCATTCACCAGAGAGATAACATTCTGGGCCATAAAACTACCTTAATAAATTTAAAAAAATATAAATCTTAAAAAGTATGTTATCAGACCAAAGTGGAATTAAACTAGAAATGAGTAATAGAAAGATATCTGGAAGATCCTGAAATATTTGGAAATGAAACATGTTTCTAAACAAATCAAAGAAGCAGCCTTAAGATAAGTTAGAAAAATATTTTTAACTAAAGAAAAATGAAAATACAATTTATCAAATTTGTGAGATGCAGCAAAAGCAGTGCTTAGAGGGAAATATGTAACATTAAATGCATATATTAGAAAAGAAGAAAGACATAAAATCAATAATCTAAGATTCTACCTTAGAAAACTAGATAAAGAAAAACAATTTAAACCAAAGCAAACTGAAGACAAGGAATAATAAACCTTACAACAGAAATCAATGAACTGGGCAACAGGACAACATTAGAGAAAATCACAAAAACCCAAAGCTGGTTCTTTGAACAGGTCATTAAAGTTAGTAAACCTCTAGCCAGGCTAACTGAGAAAAAAGGGTAAAGACACAAATTACCAATATCAGAAATTAAAGACATGGACATTCAAGCAGAGTAAAGGGCTACTGCGAACAACTCTATAGCTGCCATTGATAAATTGGATGAAACAGACCAGTTCCTTGAAACACACAAACTACCAAAACTTACAGAAGGAAAAATGAACTTCATTTGTGCTTTATTTATTTAAAAAATTAACAATAATTAATAATCTTCCAAAACCAAGAAAAGACCAGATGCAGATGGTTTCATTGGTAAGCGCTACCATACGTTTAGGGAAGAAATAATACCAGTTCAAGTCTTTTCCAGATAATAGAAGCAGAGAGAGCTCTCTTAACCTATTCTGAGGCAAGCACTACCCATATAGCAAAACCAGAAAAAGACATTACAAGAAAGGAAAACTACAGACATATTTTTTTTTTAATTTTTTTTTTTTTTTTTTTTTGAGATGGAGTCTGGCTCTGTCCCCCAGGTTGGAGTGCAGTGGTGCCATCTCGGTTCACTGCAAGCTCCGTCTCCCAGGTTCATGCCATTCTCCTGCCTCAGCCTTCCAAGTAGCTGGGACTACAGGCGCCCACCACCATGCCCGGTTAATTTTTTTTTGTATTTTTAGTAGAGACGGGGTTTCACTGTGTTAGCCAGGATGGTCTCGATCTCCTGACCTCGTGATCTGCCTGCCTCGGCCTTCCAAACCAATATTTTTCATGAATATAGATTCAAAATCCTCTACAAAAATTGGATCCAACAATATCTAAAAAGAATTATGACAACCAAGTGGGGTTTATCCCACTTATGCAAGGCTGGTTTAACATGCAAAAACCAGTTGCTGTAATCTACCATATAAAAATGTAATTCACAAAATAATGAGAAAAGTCATGATTATGCCAGTCAGCAGAGAGAAAGCACTTGCTGAAATCCAGCACTTGTTCATGATAAAAACTCTCAGTAAAGTTTGAATAGAGGGGAGCTTCTCTAGTTTGATAAGGAACATCTATATAAAGCCTATAATATTCTAACTATTTTTTTCTTATACCCATTAACCATCTCCCCATCTTACTCCCCAACTACCCTTCCCAGCCTCTTGTAACCATCCTTCTACTCTCTATGTCCCTGTTGTCAATTGTTTTCATTTTTACATAACTAAAAGAGTTTAATTGGATTGTTTTTAACGCAAAGGATAAATGCTTGAGAGGATGGATATCTCATTCTCCATGATGTGACTATTAACGCATTGCGTGCCTGTATCAAAACATCTCATATACCTATAAATATATACAGCTACTATGTACCCACAAAAATTAAAAATGAAAAAATTCTACAGCTAACAATGGTCTATATCTTAAAGTTATATATTTTTAAACAAAAGAGAAATAATTGGCATCTGATTTGTGACCTAACATTTTCATACACGAATGATAATCAGACTGAGTAAAAAGCTTTGATCATAGTCTTTTCCTCTCAAAAAAGTATGTATTTGTATTTGCACTACATGATTATTGTTTTCTCTTACTTACTTTAAGTGATTTCATGGCACAGATGAAGTTGGCCAAAGAAAGTACAGTACTTTCGCAGCAGTTTTGACCGGCTGAACCTAAGTGGTGGTGTCAGTAACTACATATCTATTTATGGAAACTCAAAGTCGGCAACATTTTGCAGTGAAGTTGGGGAAAGGGTGCTGATGTTGAAGTGTTGACTTTTCTTTCTGAAATTAATGCTTCTCCATTTATCTGCATCTCCACATCAGAATCACAGAATTCTTTGTAAGGCTCAGTCTCTTTGAAATGAATAATTCATTTTTATACAAAATGATATTTGAAAAAGCTCGAGACAACTCAGACCACTTGATTTTTTAACTATGAGTTTGATAGACATGTAAATTAGAATTTATAGGGAAAATCAGACCCCATTGTGAAAAGCATTAGAGAAAAAGGTCTCTTTCCAGTGCCAGAATCTGTAGATGAGCTTATTTTAAATAGACTTTTGAGACTTCTCTGTATCTTCCAAACACATAGCAGATTATTGAAAAAGTATTGTAAAATGTAACTATGAATGGTGTGTAGGAGCTACTTTCTATTATTCATGTGAACTGTACATTTAACATGAAAAATTCAATAGAAATAAAATATTTATGCCATTAAGTCAGCATCCTATATCTTGAAGCTAGCAGTGTAGGAAAGTACATTTTAAAATATTGGCATAAGCACCTATCTTTCTACTTTTTAAATCAAGTAAAGGAACCATGGAACTTTTGGGAAATAATGGGTGCGATGACATGATAACACCATAATATCAAAATAATTTGGGTGTAGATCATTGAACTTGGGTAGAGTAGACTTGCTGTTGATTCAGTTTTGGGCACCAGAGTTACTTAACCTGAGCCTGTTCAGGACTCTTACAGGAATATTTTATCCTCCTTGTCTTACATTTATCTATTTTTTTTTTCCCAACCAAAAATTGGGAATATGGTACAGGCATGATTCTAAGTCCTGGAGATACAAAGTCTCTTCTGTCACATTCTAGTGGGGGAGGCAAACTAGTAAATATATAGTGGAAGCTTTCTTTTGATTGCTCCCGTTGTCTCAGTAAAAACAGGAATCACAGTTATCAACTGAGAGTAAAGATGGTGAAGGGTGTGAGAAGAGTGGAGTGCGTCTGAACTAGTTATCTAAGAGAGTGGAATAGTGAGTGGACAAGAGAAACACAGCAGGATTTCTGAGCTGCACAAAGGTCCATTTCAGGCTAGTGGTCATAAATTTCACTAGTTATCTATGAGCATAATATTGTGTTTTAATCCACTCATATTTAGTCAAAGAGGTATAGATGCAGAAGTAAGTGAAAAGTTGTGTTTATCCAATGTTGAAATTTGGTCAAGTGAATAAGAGAAGACTCAGGGACTTCAAAGATCTGGGAGTTGAGGATGTTTACAAGGGTGTTTGCAAAATTTTGAAGAAATACTTCATTGATAAAAATTCTGCCAGCATACAAGAAATAGTGTTTTAGCATTCAGGACAGACAAGTGAATCTATACACCGGCAAAATCAGAATGTAATCCCAGAGCAAGGACTTTTTACCTTCTTAACATGAAAAGGGGCCTGATGATTGGAACAAGGGTCCAAGTCCTTTGAGGATTTGCCAAAATTGACTGGAATTAACATTAATCTCCTACTTGTATCGATATTTTTACCAAGAAACTTAGACATATGATTGAAAGACTTAAATAAATGGACTCACTCTGAATTTTATTTCTGATTCATATCTGGGAAAATAACTACAACATGTGATGGCAGCCAACTAATTTGAACGTACCTCTTCCTTGTAATCAATCTATGATTACCAAACTTTTATTCTGAATTGATATTTGATCTTACTGGCACTGGGTAATGTCAACACTATCTTTGAATTATACCATGATGGATGGTTGCAAAACCCATCGAAAGGGAAGGAAGCCAGTGTTGATGGAGTAGTTAATGTATGCCAAGAATTTTATATTCATTATTGGTCATTTCTATAATTCTGAAAATTAGTATTGTTGTCTCCATTTTACTGTTGAAGATTCTGACGCTCAACGTCTGACTGATTTCAAATCCCATGTTCTCTCTATTGCACCCATGCTGCCCCGTCCTTCTCAGTGGAGACTTATTGTTGAGGTTTAACTACCTCAATCCCTTGCTTTCTTTTTTCCCCACAAAAATGAAGCACAGGTTGAGAATACTTTCATTTGGAGAGAATTATGCTGCTTTGAACCAAATAAACTAACTGATAATAATTTAAGGGGGCAAAGTGTTCCCGTTATTTTTTGTTCCTGGTATTGAGGTCTTGATAGTGTTGTTCAGGTAATCAGTCAGTGGTACCTGATACATTATAATAATACAAAGAGGAAAATTACAGCCAAGAAATCCATTCTGTCAGTTATCCATATGTGTTCTAAAAGAGATGGCCTAAATCTCTGCCCATTTATACTGTACAGTATTTTCAAACAGACTCCAAAACTGCCAAGATAATTACAGTGTGAAATATCTTGTGCCAAATAGTTATGGCATTTTCTTGCCAATAATTGTGACAAAAAAATTCCCATAGAATAAAAAATAACAGCCAAAATAGCAAGCTTCTCCTTGTGGAAGCCAATGGTTTTCTTTAGAGAGGAAACAACAGATGAAATATGAGTAATTATACTATGTAATGTAGTCTCTTTGGCCAAGAGCATAATTGTTTACCTAAGCTTTTTACTTATAGATTAGAATCTTGTGTTGCAGTCTAGTAGATTGATTTAACTGCCTCTGTGACTTCTTTTTATTTTTAAGATTAGGCAGTCCATGACAAAGAGGTTAATTGCAACCCAATAGAGCTAAACTAATATTTTATTAAGAAGGAGCTGGCATCCTGAGCTTTTAGGAGAACAAATATTCTCATAATGCCATGAACAACTTACAGAGCAAGTATTAGGCTCTTCATATTCAGCTCTCTGTTTGCATTACCCTGTATCGACCACATCTAAGTAACATTAGCAAACTTTGCTGAATAATCAGTCACACCAGTTAGATCTCTGTAAAGGTGAGATCAGTAAATGTATCACTTGGAAAAGTTAGAACTGCTGATACGTCTTTTTTCTCTGACCTAGACAGTATGGCAGCTCAACTTTTTCAAAGTTTATACAGTACAAGTTGGTGGGAGATCAAATGAACTAATATAGGTAATAATAGGTAATTCCAGATGTGTTCAGGAACACAAAGGGATTGGTATAAGACATTGTTAGTGATAGCAAAAATTTAGAATCTACTTCAAAGTACATGATTGAAACGTATGTGTGATCAGGAAGGAGCAAATGATCAATTCTCTGAGATGATAGGGGTGCAGGTAAGAACCAGGTGCCATAGTGGTTTAGTCTGGAGGTGGATGGGAGAGAAGGGGAACTGAAGGCTGTCACATTTCTATGACCATTTTGTCCAAAGCAATCTACAGATTCAATGCCATTCTTATCAAAATACCAATGTCATTTTTTACAGAATTAGAAAAATAATTCTAAAATTCATATGGAACTAAAAAAACCCCAAATAGCCAAAGTAGTCTTAAGCAAAAAGAATAAAGCTGAAGACATCACATTACCTGACTTCAAGTTATATTACAAAGCTATGTTAACCCAAACAGCACAGTACTGGTATAAGAAATAGACACATTGATTAATAGAACAGAATAGATAGTCCAGAAATAAAGCCACATATTTACAGACAACTGATCTTTGACAAAGCCAATAAGAACATATATTGGGGAAAGGAGACCTTTTTCAATAACTGGTGCTGGGATAATTGGATTGCCATATGCAGAAGAATGAAACAGGACCCCCCTATCTCTTGTCATATACAAAAATCAACTCAAGATGGATTAGCTTAAACATAAGACTTGAAGTTATAAAAATACTAGGAGAAAATCTAGGAAAAACTCTTCTGGACATTGGTGTAGGCAAAGAATTCATGACAAAGACCTCAAAAGCTGAGGCAACAAAAATGAAAACAGACATATGGAACTTAATTAAACTAAAAGCTTCTATACAGCAAAAGAAAGAACCAACAGAGTGAACAGATGACCTGAAGAAGGGAAGAAAGTATCTGCAAACTATTTATTCAACAGAGGACTAATATCTAGAATTTATAAGGCACCCAATTCAACAACAACAAAATAACTCCATTAAAAAGTGGGCAAAGGACATGAATAGATATTTTTCAAAAGAATACATACAAATGGCCAACAGTATATGAAAAAATACTTGACATCACTAATCATCAGAGAAATGCAAATTAAAACTACAATGAGATACCATCTCACAACAATCAGAATGGCCATTAAAAAGACAAAAAATAGCAGATGTTGGTAAGGATGTGGAGAAAAGGGAACTCTTGTACACTGTTGGTGGGAATGTAGGTTAGTACAACCTCAATGGAAAACAATATGGAGATTTCTCAAACAACTAAAAATAGAACTACCATTTGATCTGGCAGTCCTGCTACTGGATATGTACCAAAAGAAAATAAATCTTTACACAAAAAAGATACCTGCACTCATATGTTTATTGCAGCACTATTCACAATTGCAAAGATAGAATCAATCTAATTATCCATCAGTGGATGACTGGATAAAGAACATGTGGCATATATACACAATGGGATGCTACTCAGCCATAAAAAAGAATGAAATCATGTCTTCTGCAGCAACATGGATGGAATTGGAATCCGTTATCTTAAGTGAACCAACCCAGACACAGAAAGACAAATATCAAATAATCTCACTCATAAGTGGGTGTTAAAAAAATGTGTACACATGGATGTAGAGAGTGGAATGATAGACATTGGAGACTTGGGAGGGTGAAGGCGTGGGAGAGGGTGGATGATGAGAAATTCTTAATGAGTACAATATATGTTATTCAGGTCACAGTTACCCTAAAAGCCCTGACCATTATACAATTGATACATGTAAAGAAATTGCACTTGTACCTCATAACTTTATATAAATTAAAAAGAAGACTATCATGTTTCTTATGGCTTCTGCTTTTTTCAATAACATTTTTGGCAGGGGTTTGTGCTGACAGTAAGGAGAGAAGGACAGCATAGGTGTTGTGAGAAAAATGCTAACTCTTTGGAACTGGAACTGCAAGAAGGCCCTAATCAGAGTCAAATAAAAAGATTACTGAGTAGCTCAGAAAGCTCATCTCTGAATGCTCCCATTGATTTTAATGTGTACCAAAACATTCATTTGCTTTGCATTGATTCTCCATGTTCTAGGGCATTTTGATAGCAAAACTCATAAACGATTACTCAATTTTACAACCGCCTTTGGCTTTGATTTATCTAGGAAGAAAGAATCCTTTCCAAGTCTTTTCTCCTAAATTTCTCTCTTCTGGTCCGTCTGAGTCAGTTCAACATTTGCCACCACTTTTTTTTCTTTTTTCTGCCAGCAGTTCCCCAGTTCTCTTTCTGAAAGCAGATTATAATCCTTAACACTTCCAGAATTCCTTCTCTAACCTTCCCTACCATGCCTTTCCTACCTTCTTCAACCAAAAGACTTCCTTCATATAAGCTATGCTAATACCTAAGAACTGAATGTATTTTCTTCTTTAAATTTTAAATATTTACATATAATGCAGATGCTGTACTCCTATTTATTTCCTCATTAATCATCATTAATTCATTCACTAAACAAAACCATTCAGTAAAACATTCCACAAAAACAGATCTAGTGCCCACTATGTGTTAGTCAACCAAGGTAATATGGTCTGGCTCTGTGTCCCCACCCAAATCTCATCTTGAATTTTAATTTGAATTGTAATCCCCACATTGGGGGAGGGACCTCATGGGAGGTGATTAGATCATGGGGGTGATCCCCCCATGCTGTTCTCATTATAGTGAGTAAATTCTCTGAGATCTGATGGTTTTATAAGGGGATTTTCCCCTCTTGGCTCGGCACTTCTCCTTCCTGCCACCATGTGAAGAAGGATGTGTTTGCTTTCCCTTCTGCCATGATTGTATCTTTCCCAAGGCCTCTCCAGCCATGTGTAACTGTGAGTCAATTAAACCTCTTTCCTTCATATGTTACCCAGTCTCAGGCAGTTCTTTATAGCAGCATGAGAACGGACTAATACACAAGGATAGAAAATATAAGATCTGGCAACTAAAAGTCGCACGATGCAGTCACTTCCCTTTTCATCTATGTTCAAGGGTAGTCTTACTCAGAATATGCTGATTTAAAACATTTTTAGAATGATGGGTTAATATTACCTTTCTCTTTCATTTTCTTTCTGTTTTTCAAATCAATGATAGTCCTATTTTTATTCATGGAGAAAAATGCATGTGTTTTATTTTTACTGTTTAAAAATGATTTTTTTTCTTCAAGAAAGTAAAATAAGGTAAAGAAAAGAGATGAAATATTCCTTGATCACACTGACTTCATGTGTAAATTAAGGTACACACATACACAGACATTTGAACAAGCTTTTTTTGTATTAGGAACAACTGCTTCCTCCTTAAGAAACACAGTTGTAGTCTGTGCTCATGATGCTTCAAATGGAAAGCCAGAGGATGACAATAAGCTTTCATTGTCATATTTCTCCTTTCTCACACTTATTTTCATGTATGATACTGTGAAATCAGAGAAAACATGCCATTTGATGATTTGTATTTGTTTATGGATCATTTAATTTATTCCTAAATGTCTCCTTTTTTTTTCAAAATGTTTTCTGGATAAACCTTTTTTTCACACAGGGAACGAAAGTGGGCTTTTCTTTTAATCCAATGAGTTATACCAAGGGCTGTAATTTTACCTGTTTTAGAAATCTGAGCCTTCAGTAAGTAAAAGATTGACTTGGAATTTTCTAGAAATAGTCAAGGCAATTATAACATTCTATTGATGTAAGGTGCACAGATTATCACCAGGTAAAATTATAATATACCTATGACTAATATAGTTACTGTCATCCAAAGACGCCCTCACCACTTTTACCAAACAAAGCAAAACCAAACCAAAAACCAATGATAATAAAACAAAATGAGATTTATTTTATATCTGATTTTTAAAGTTACAAATACAATTGATTTATTTTATGGTGTATTTTATGCCAGGCCTTGTTTCAAGTGCTAAGAATGGAGGGATAAACAAGAGTTTAGCAAGAGTGGCTATTATATCAATCAACAATTACATCAGTGTTGTTAGTGCCAGGTGAGGTATGCATCCCATGATGTGCGTGTACAGAGGAGGGCACCTCTCACTTGTGGGTGGATCAAAGAAGCATCCAGGTAATGCTTTTACTGAGTCTGCAGTTACCAGTAAGTGTTAGCCAGAAAGATGGGGGAGGGAAAAGACATTCCAGGAAGGCAGAATGATTGTAACATGTGAAAATACGGAAACACAAAACAGCGTAGGGTGTGCAAAGAATTCCTAGTAGATTTAATTTTAGTTTTGAATTTATTCTTTATTTGATTTGCTATTGATTTTAATAAGGCTGGGATGCAGAGCATGTGTGAGAAAGTGGCAAGAGACAGAGGCAGAGCAAATCACTTGGATCAGAAAATAAATGACCTGTATACCAAGGATATACAGTGTTATCCTGGAGGCCTTCAGGTTTCTGTTAAAGGGTAATAGGGTAAAAGGCATGTGTTTTAGAAAGAACTTTGCAAGCAATGAGGATGTGGTTTTGGAATGCTGCCTAACTCGGGTGAAAGACGTTGTGTTGTCTGACATAGTAGGGGTGCAGAGAGGAGATTCAATTTGAGAGATATTTATTGATGTTATAATCTATAAGGCTAGGAAATAAGTGTGTGTGTGTGTATGTGTGTGTGTGTAGGTAATAGTGAAAAGAGGATGGCGAATTTCATGTTTCTCATTTGGGCATTAGAAATATCTTGGGGCCATTTGACAAGATCAGGGATGCATGAGTGAGGCAGAGTGGGTGATAAAGGGGGAAGATGGTGTCAGTTTTGGACATGTTGAGTGTTGTCAGATGCCTGTAGAATACTGTAGTAAGAAAAGTCCAGTGGCTAGCTAGACACATAGGTCTGGCATTCAAAAGAAAAGTCTCAATTTGTCATAGAGATTGCATGTTGGTTTTTCATTAATGTTGAGTTTTTAGAGAGTTGGTGTCATATCTAATACCCTTTTTTTTTGTTTCCACAGCACATTGTACAGGGTAAGCCTTAGGGTTGCATACAATTCCCAAAACCTAACTTTTTTTTTGTTCTAATTACTAGGATGGGGTCCAATAATGTAGAAGAAATAAAGACTCTCCATCAATTGATGCCAGTTTATTTCTTTTCCAATCCAGTTATTGATACATAGACCTGAATTGGTGGGGCAATACAAAGCTTAAATTAAATTAGAATCAGCCTGAAGAATAGTAGTAAAGAATGATGTCACCTGCATTTTATGGTTTGACAGATATTAGGCAGGTGTATTTCCAGAATTTCTTCCTTAATTTTTTTTTTGTCATATCATCTGAAATTTCATCATTGTCATCATTCCTTTGGAACATCAGGAGTTTTTCAGTTTTAAGGAGTTGCCTGATAAATGACCTCATGAAGGGTAATTGTGTAGAAGTTATCAGATAGTGTTAATAAAATTTTTTAATGAATTGGAGCTTTTGAGATATCTAGGGAAAGGATAATTGAGACAGGATGAGAGTATGGCTGGTTTTGTTCTATTTGTTCACTTCTTATTGACATTTCCTTGAGATTAATGATTTTATTACTGGCAATTTGAGGCCCCAGAAGAAAATTCTTTCCCATTAAATTGCATTTCTTTCCCCCAAAAGTCACTGCTCTTTCAGAAGACATTATTAACAATTCTAGATATTCCAAAAATAAATTTAGGTATCACTGCAGTTGTTAATAACAGATAAATAACATTTTGCTATGTTACAAGGAAGATGGAAGTGTGTGAAATGAACCATAAAAAGTAAGATTTGTTGAAATTCAGTTTTATTCTCTTATATCTGCACACAAACACATTGAAGGACTATTATAATTAGGGTAAGACTAGCTGCTGTAACAAATAAATCCCCAACTTTTAGTGGCTTAATACAATAGAAGCACATTTCTTGCTCATGTAACAGTCCAAGGCAAACGATCCTGGCTGGCATATGGCATTTTCCCACACAGTTATTCAGCAGCTTTGCTATCCCCTTGGGCCTTGTCCAGCTGGTAGAAAGAAAGAGAAATTGTGGAGAAGTCACAGTTGTTTCTTAAATCACGGCATGGAAGTGACACACATTACTTCTGTCTGCATTCCATTGGTGAGAACCAGGGACATAGGCCATACTGAGATGCAAGAAATTCTGGGAAGTATGTTCCTAATTGGACAGCTATTTCCCAGTAAGAAAGCTGTACAATGCAAGGAGGAGCACAGAATTTTGTGGATAGCTAGTTGCATTGGCTACAGGGACTATACACAGATATGGGCAAAATACAAAGGTCACACATAAAAATTGCTCATTATTTTATGGCCACACTTCAAATATATGAGCATGTCTATACAGAAGGAAAGAAAATACTTTTGTTTGATACTTTGCATTCATTTTGGATGTTATGTGGTTGCTGAGATCTTTTTAATGCTAGCAAGAATGTTGGATTCCTTATTCATTTGTATGAAAAACTGAGACTTTCTTTCCTTATTTTTAAGGTTGGACGAAATTTGCCCGATTGACACGGGCTTTGACAAATAGCCGAAGTGTTTTGCAGCAGCTCACGCCAATGAATAAAACAGAGGTGGTCCATAAACATTCAAGACTAGCTGAAGTAAGTATGAGATGAATTTTGCTTCCCAAGATGGTGGTGTTGGTACATTTTTCTTCCCTAAAATGATTTAATATAGATATTTCTGGCTATGATCTTATAAATACTTAGCTGATAATTTATGTTTCCCTTGTAGAAATATAGAAATCCCAAATATTTCTATTCATTCTCTCCAACTTTTGAAATGGGAGTGTAGCTCATGACATCCCAGGTCATGTCTGTAGAGTGTAAGGTTTTCTTTGAGCATATCAGATAGGGAGTTCTTTCATTGCTTCATGCATATATGCAGCAAACACATATTCAGGGTATGCTCTGTGCTTGGCACTCTGCAAAGGATGTAAAGTTAAATAAGAAATGGGCCCTGTCATCAAGGAGTTAAATATCCAGCAGAGGAAACTGATCATAAGATGTGAAAAGATGCAATGACAGGGTGCTGTGGGAGCCTGTGCAGGAGAATTTGCCCAAATGTGGGGCCCTAGGGAAGGCTGTGTGAGTGAGATGATACCTGGGCTGAGTGAATTCTGAAGGGAAAATGTGAGAGCTAGTCAGGTAAAGAAGGGATATAGTTTATTCCTACCAGGGAGGCCAGCATGTACAAAGGGTCAGAGATGAGGTAGTATGGTGACGTTGAGTATGACTTTACTGTAGTTGAACTCATATGGGGAAGGAGAAGGTAGGGTGGCATATAGTGAAATGGTGGTGGTTGGTGTCTCATGTGCCAGGAAAATGACCTTTGTGCCTCAGAAAAACCTCTCAAAGGGAGGTGGGTCCTAATTGGTTTCTTTTGCAATTTCATGTTTTTATTGTGTTAATTCAAAAACTTTATTCTAAGAAGAGGTCCATAGTTTTTACCAGATTGCCATAGGGATCCAAGGCACAAAATGATTAAAAACTCCTGCTTGGCCTAGTGGCTCTGTGGAGAATGGGGAGGTAGGGAAACCAGTGAGGAAGTCCTAGCAGTAAGTAAGTTAGCATGACCACGGTTGTCAGCAGGATAGTGGTAGCAGAAGTGGGTGGATTGCAGACACATTAAGATTAGAGTGAACACATTTGTTAATACATTAGAATAGTGTGTGAAACAAGGGGTTGAGTCCAGGACAATTCTATGTTTTTGATTTAGATGACAGGGTAGATAGTTCTGTTGGTTAATAAAATGACGAATGTAAGATGAAGGAAAGAAGATTTGAGGACAATGATCATGAGTTCAGTTTGGGGCATACAAAGTTTGAAGAGCCCCATAGGAAGCCCTAGTGGAGATGCCTGAACAGCAGGGAGATTTATGGGTCTGGCACTCTGGAAGGATATTTGAGTTTGAATTGTAGGCTTCAGTGTCATCTTCACAGTTATGGCTGTTCAAGTCATGTGACTAGACGATGTTACCCTGAGACTAAGGAGAAAAAAAATGAGGACAGAACTCTGAGGCAGCTAATAGCTTTATTGTTCACATGTCTTCTATAACCATAATTTGTATTACTGGTATGAAAGATGCCAAAAAGCTCATTAAGCTACCAAAACTATGCTGAGCACTACGTTTGCACTCACAAAATATTCTCAGGTAACTTTTACCAAAAAAGAGAAAGATAAAATCCATACGCTTATCAGTTTTCTCTGCTGCAGAAAAGTGAGTCGAAGCACTTCAGAGTAATTTTCTTAACTTGTCGTAAATATTGAATCTGGTTTGGAGGGGATTAGGAAGTAAAGTATGTTCCCTGAATTTAGAAGACTATGGAGTTTTTCTTAGACCATGGCTAACAAAAAGACTTTTGGTTTTCTGCTCTAAATAGCACTGTTAGCTTGGGGAAAGATGAATCCTTTGATGTGCAGACATGTTTCTGAAGACCAAAATAAGACATTAATATAACTAAATATTAACTAGTAATAATAATCACAATATTTAAAAGATAATATGCAATTAGTACAAGATTTAAAGCAGACAATGAGATACAACTTTCTTTTGCAAAAATGCTTAGATTTTGGAGCTAGTTCCTCTTCTGCCTAAAGTTGCCTGTTTCTTTCTGCAAATCAAGCTGAAATGTAGGAGGTTGTTTCTGTGATTGTGAATTTTTATAGTCATGATTCCTTTGGGGTCTTAACCACACCTGATTCAGGATTTTTCTTTTGTCTGTTACACAACAGAGCGACAACAAGTGAAAGGGGGCCATAGAGAAGACAATCTTCTCCCTTAGCACCCAGAATCACTCAGAATTGTTTTTTCACTGTATCAACGGAAAAGAAAGAAACTTTCCCCTTGACATTTTCTCATTTTTATTTTTGAGAAACGTATTCCTATTTCATCCCATCTGTTTTTTTTTTCTTTGCTCTGTGATTAGTGTTAGTTTCTTTACCAGTCATCCCTTATTCATAAACCTGGTTCTGATATAAAACTGCTTTCTGTCAGATCTTAGGGTCGATTTCAGAGAGCATACAGAAATAACAAGATTGTCGATAGACATTTAGTCTGAATACCTGCAGCGCATGCTCTTAGATCTCCAAAGATAGACATAAAAGAAATACCAAATAAGTATAACAATGTTGTTTTTCCAGTGGTACTCAAAACTCTTGTAATTTGCTCAATGCAAGTATTTGGTTTAGCTATGGAATTTGAGGTGCTTTTACTTTTTCAAAGACAGATAAATTTGATCTCAATTCTACCTGATCCCCCAAATTTGGAGCTGATCCCCAGTTTCAAAGATTCCAGTCTCCATAAAGGTAGTTAATTAATTTTCTGCGTGCATTGACACCCTGCTGATTGCCTTTAGCTTGTTCACTTTTATGTTGGGTAGAGATAAATATATACGCCCTGCCACATCAGTCAGTGGGCCTGACTTTGTTAGAGTCAATGCTCTCAGATCTTCAGAGAGGAAGAATGTGTCTGTATTGGTACAAAAATACATCAAAAAATGTGATTTCATCCTCCTTCCACCAAAGGCTTATTGCTTATAGAAGCACAAATGACATAACAATGAAAATGAAGAGTCTGTTACTGTTTTATGAAAGAGCCCAGGAACAGAGTGAAGATTAGTAGTGCTTTGCATATGAAAAAGATGAAGCTTATTTTTTGTGCACTGTTTTTTGTTGTTGCCATTTTCCTCTTCTTCCTCCTCCTTGTCCTCCTCTACCCTTTCCTCCTCCTTTTTGTCCCCATCTTGCATTTTTTTGGAGGGCTTTACATATGCAAATCACTGTCTAGAGAATTGGGTCCTGAATGTCTAAAGAAATGTAAGACAGATATCTTACCTTGGGCTGTACATTGTAATCACCTGGGAAGGTTTTGAAAATATAGATTCTCTGAGAACCCAAACAAGACCAATTTAATCATTCTCCAGGGTGGAGTCTAGGTATAAGTATACTGTATTCTTTTAAAACTTCCCCAGATGATTCTAATATATAGCCAGGTTTAAGACTTTCTGAACTCAGGGTGATGCCATTCCATCTTTAGAGGAGACCTGCATTAATCCAGGCTACTGAGCAGGGCTTACATCTGTCAGCACAGTAGGCACAGTGTCCAGGGCCCCACAACACTTTTACGGGTCTATAGGATGTTTCAATTTCTATTAACAGCAGAAGAAAACAGGGTAATTTTAGGTAAAAACAAAAACTGAATGTGTGATATTAATATATTTATCTGTTATAATATACACACACACACACATATGTATATATATGTATATATACATACACACTTTTTTTTTTTTTTGAGACTGAGTCTCGCTCTGTCACCCAGGCTGGAGTGCAGTGAGTGGTGTGATCTCAGCTCACTGGAACCTCTGCCTCCCAGGTTCAAGTGATTCTCCTGCCTCAGCCTCCAGAGAAGCTGGGACTGCAGGCACGTGCCAACAAGCCCGGCTAATTTTTGTATTTTTAGTAGGACGGGGTTTCACCATGAAGGAGTCTAGGAAGGCACAAAGGCTTAGGGTCCACGAAGGTGGTAATGCACCCTGGTACTGAGTTTGTTCTTATTTCCCAAGTTTGATTTATTTGTGGTTAAACATAGACTGTGTATATATAGATGGTAAACTACTAACATTGAATATGAAGGCAATTTTCATGTTTAACACAATGAAATTGGAATTGACAGGCCAGTAGTTGAAAAGCAAAAGAAAAGACATGATTATGTACAATTGTATAATACTTCACCCCAACATGAATCTTACCTCCTGGTAGGATGATTTGCTGTTAAGTAATTTAAGACATCATGGGAAAAACATAACTGAGGTACTGATAATGGCAAATACATAAAATATCTTTATAAGTATTCTTACAAACACCAAAATAAAAATAACAATTCTAACATACAATTAAAGGGACCACCAGTGATGTTTTCCATATCAAAAATAGTAAAAATGGATATTATATTCTTAGTTTTCAGATATGTAAGTTCTGTATATGAGAGGAACTTTAGGATACTCTCCCAAGCTGCCAAAGATGCTAGTATATTTGTTTTGTTTTGTGGCATATATTATAACTCAGAGTTACATGCTAACAAGTATTTTTATTTTTATCCATTCTTACATCTAAATATTTAATGCATTTATGATTTTATGATTTGGCCTTTTTGACTCCTACCTTCTGGGTCCCATTAGTCCTAGAGACACTGAATAACTGAATACATACAATGGGCAAATCTGTTGAAAATATTTAAAAATTTCCATTTACCAAACTCTTTAACACATACATTGTCTTTGGCTTCATTGATGGCACAGGGCAGAAGTTTTTGATTTATCCCTTCAACTGTCTTTTTTTTTTTGAGACGGAGTCTCGCTCTGTCGCCAGGCTGGAGTGCAGTGGCACAATCTCAGTTTACTGCAACCTCTGCCTCCTGCATTCAAGTGGTTCTCCTGCCTCTGCTTCCTGAGTAGTTGGGATTATAGGCACGCACCACCACGCCCATCTAATATTTGTATTTTTAGTAGAGACAGCGTTTCACCATGTTGGCCAGGATGGTCTCGATCTCCTGACCTCGTGATCTCGCCTCAACTGTTTTTTATAATTCCCAGGTTCCAGGTTCCAGAAGGCAATGCTATGTCCTGTGTTGGTTACCTTTGCCCAGGGATACACAAACCTCTACTCTTGCTCTGTCATCTGCTTTCTATCTTTGTTTTCTGCTGTAATTAGACTTAATTAGTGTAACTCAAGGTTCATATAAACTTACACTAAAATTTTTCCATTTGAATTGGTATACAGAAACAAACTTGAGTATTTAATATTTTTTTCCCTAAAGGAAATTTGCAGTTGGGCAAGAAACACAATATTCTTTAAGTCCAGATCTAAGGGAGGAAGGGAAAAAGCAGGCGATACCCTTTACAACCCTTTACACTGCTGTGCCACCCATCAGGGCCCTTGCTGAGTATCACTCAACAACAGCATCACCAACAGTGGGATGCCGGGGTCCAGCGAGGCCATCAGAATCAAAGTTATGCTTCCTGAGGTGCTAAATGTGTATGAAGAATAGATAATGGTGTCTCACCCAAATAACTGCTGGACAGTCCATGAGAGCCATGTGATTCTAGGCAGGCTTGCAGAGTGAGTGTGCAGGAGGCACTTGCAGAAGTGGACATCCAGCAGTGTTGTGGATCAGTGTTGGCTACTGCATCAGAGCATGCCAGATAGAACAGCAGAAAGATCAGCTTTGGTAGAGTGATTGGACTTGGAGTGACTTCCTCTGAACAAATTTTAGGACAACTCAGGAGAAGAGGGAGGCAAGACTGTGGAGCATGACTGGCTGTGGTTTGACTGCCAGTAGATTTGAATTCATCACTGACTGTGCAGAGATAACCTAGTCATGTATAAATACATTTTCTCTCTTTTAGGTTCTTCAGCTGGGATCAGATATCCTTCCTCAGTATAAACAAGAAGCGCCAAAGACGCCACCACACATTATTTTACATTATTGTGCTTTTAAAACTACTTGGGATTGGGTGATTTTAATTCTTACCTTCTACACCGCCATTATGGTTCCTTATAATGTTTCCTTCAAAACAAAGCAGAACAACATAGCCTGGCTGGTACTGGATAGTGTGGTGGACGTTATTTTTCTGGTTGACATCGTTTTAAATTTTCACACGACTTTCGTGGGGCCCGGTGGAGAGGTCATTTCTGACCCTAAGCTCATAAGGATGAACTATCTGAAAACTTGGTTTGTGATCGATCTGCTGTCTTGTTTACCTTATGACATCATCAATGCCTTTGAAAATGTGGATGAGGTAAGTTTTTCGTTTTGGTTTTCTGAGTACTGTGGGTCATATATTTTGAAAACATCAGGATAAATGGATTCCACAGATAATCCAAACCTCTTTTTAGCCACCACTTTCAACTTTCTTGAAACCCTTGCCAAAAGTTATTATATTTGATTACCTTAAATTAGTTTTCATCTGTTTCTTCTCCTTGATATCTGGTTGAAAGTACTAATTACTGGGAATTGGAGTTTGTGGATGGAAGAAGTGGAGGAGAAGAAAAGCGGCGGCATTTGAAGTCAACTACAGTTCACAAACTACATAATTGATTGAAAGAAGATATTAGATTGGTGCAAAAGTAATTGTGGTTTTCACAATTACTTTTAATGGCAAAAACCACATTTACTTTTATAACAACCTAATAAATAGATGTATTTTCTTTGAAAAGCTGCAGCATTTGAAAACTACTCATTCACAGATCTTTTGACTCCTCCTCTCAAGACACATATGATAACAATGGTAGAGTTAACATAAAGATAAAGAAACTTTTATGAAACAGCAATTCTTGAATTTTTGCCACTTTGGTTTCTTCCTCATAGCTTTTGCTTTACATTTTGTCTGAATATATTTGTGGATATTGGATGACGTATTAGTCCATTTTCACACTGCTATAAAGATACAACCTGAGACTGGGTAATTTATAAACAGAAGAGATTTAATTGACTCACAGTTCCACATGGCTGGAGAGGCCTCAGGAAACTTACAATCCTGGTGGAAACAAGCAAGGACCTTCTTCACATGGCGGCAGGAGAGAAAAAGGAGCACAGGGGAAACTGCCACTTTTAAAACCCCCAGATCGCATGAGATCTCCCTCACTGTCACGGGAACAGCATGGGGAAAACTGCCCCCATAATCTAATCACCTCTCACCAGGTCCCTCTCTTGACATGTGGGGATTACCATTTGAGATGAGATTTGGGTGGGGACACAGAGCCAAACCATATCAGATGACTTCTGATGTCTTGTCTCATGTAAGGCTCTGCTTCTTCAGTGTTATCAGTGCACCTAGAAGTACTTAAAATATGTAGAAGCTTAAAAGACCACTTCATCCACAGCTTCTCAGGCTCTAACTTAATAGTGGATGATATTTAAGTTGTTACACCAAGCTAATAGGATACAACCAGTAATTTCAATTCATAATATATAGAAGAGTCAATATAGAATATGTCTATTATTAAAATATGTTCATTATGATAATATTACTAACTTAATTATCCTAAGATGTTCCTATAGATTCTAGTCTGTAGACTGCTCAGATGGAAAATTCTTTACTCTGTTGTTATTATTATTATAATACATTGTAATATATTATTTCTCTATGTGTGTTGGGAGATAGATTGAAACTTTTCTTCAGTGACTTTTTCTATAAAATATTTACGTTCAACCAACTATAATAATATAAATATTATTTCCCCCAAATTTAAGTGTAGACATTGTATTTTGATATTGTGTATGTAATTATTACTTTATAAATTATGAGAAAAAAATCATAATAATTCATTTTCCAAGTTTTGAGTCCACCTACATCAAGCTTTTAAAGATTTTTTTTTTCAAATTTATCTTCTGAAGTGAGTTAAAGGAGTTAATTTTGAAAATACAAATCACATGATAGGGGACAATAAGCAGTATTTATGTTTTGCACACTACACAGATTATTACATTAATACATTGAGATTTTAGTTATTTAGAGTATAGGCCTAAAGATTTTAATAAAGGCAATCACTCATGTGGAATCTAGAAAAGTTCATCTCATATAGAGTAGAATAATGGTTACCAAGGGGTGGGGTGAATGGAGAGATGGTGGAAGAATACAAAACTTCAGTTAGATGGAACTAAATTCAAGAAATCTATTATACAATATGGTGACTATAGTTAACAATGTACTACATTCTGGAAAAATGCTGAGAAAGTGGGTGTAAAGTGTTCTCACCACAAAAATGATAACTGTGAAGAAACACATACGTTAACTAGCTAGATTTAGTCATTCCACAATGCATACATACTTTAAAACGTCATGTTGTACATAGTAAATACATGCAATTATTTCTGTCAATTAAAAATAATCAAAAGATTGGCTTGATTAGTATTACAGTAAATATATTGTTTAATAATACATTTATAACTATGTAATACTTTTATTTATACATTTATAATTATGTAATATATATTAAAAGATTCTCTCAACTTAGCTCATATTCAAGAAATGCAAAGTAAATCCACACTAAATACAATTTTCTTTCTTTTTTTTTTTTTTTTGAGACGGAGTCTCACTCTGTCGCTCAAGCAGGAGTGCAGGGGCTCTGTCTCGGCTCACTGCAAGCTCCGCCTCCCGGGTTCACGCCATTCTCCGGCCTCAGCTTCCCAAGTAGCTGGGACTACTGGTGCCCGCCACACTAAATACAATTTTCATTTATCACGCTGCAAAGACCGAAACTACGTTAGAACACTAGGCTGTTGAGTGTAGTAGCTAAGTAGGCACACCGCTCAAATCTCCTTTCATCAACACGTGCTGTGTGGAGTACGGTCAGCGGCACCCTGGGTCCAGCTCCTGGCTTTAGAAAGCCTATTGTTACCATCTCTTCTCGACTCAGCATTTGGTGATCTCACAGTGGTAGCTTGAAATTAGCCACAGTGGGCGTATTTACACTACAGAAAGTAGCAAAAGCTACAAATCAAGGCCTTTTTAAAAAACTTTCTGTAGAGCTAGTTGTTAATCATTTTCCAACACATCACTGAACACAGTTAACTGAAGGCTGCTGCCTTTTCTGATCTCCTGCAGCTCACATGTTGAAGCTGGGCTCACACATTTCCCCAGGGCTCTTCCCCGTCAGTGTCTGAGTATGGTGGGAATACTATAACTTGTCCATAACTGCAACTTTTGCTCTGGGACTATCCATTTACTGTGTAAAAGTGTAAGCTTTTTCTTCCTACCTGAGTCTTCCTTCCCTCTTTCACAGGTGTTAGAACTGCATTGTAGTCCAAAGGCTCTTCGTGTTCCCCTCCTCCCCATTTTGTCCTTCCCAGGCATTTACCTCAGTAAAATTCTTGCGTAAATAACCCTGGCTTGGCATCTACTCCTTACAGGACCTCAATTGATCAAGTGGGATGTGGCATATCACTCTCATACACTGCTCAGGGGAGAATGAATTGGTAAAATCTCTATAAAGAACAGTTGGCAATGTTTCATTTTAAAAAAGAGAAGACCCTAGAGGCAACCATTTTCAAATTTTTTCAGGGGATTCTTTTATTATTTGCTTCCATGTCACCAAACAACACGATTACATATCTACCTCTTGGTTTGTCAATTTTAGGTTTTGTCTTTGACTTCTCAACATGAAAGGTGAGATTTTAGCTCCCCTTTCTACTTTCGCTCACTATTTAAATGCACCATTTTCATCACCTCATTCTCACAATATATCATCCTTTTGATTCAATAAATATTAAGTGTTGATATTATTATTATTGTTATTATTATTATTTTTGGTGACAGAGTCTTGCTCTGTCACCCAGGCGAGAGTGCAGTGGTGTGATCACTGCAACCTCTGCCTCCCAGGTTCAAGCGATTCTCCTGCCTCAACTTCCCCAGCAGCTGGGACTAGAGGCGCGCACCACCACACTCGGCTAATTTTTTTTAAATTTTTTTAGTATTTCACCATGATGGCCAGTCTGGTCTTGAACTCCTGACCTCAAGTGATCCGCCCATCTCAGCCTCCCAAAGTGTTGGGATTACAGGCGTGAGCAACTGGGCCTGGCCAAGTGTTGATATTGTTATGACTGCAAATATGCATTTTATAGCTGATCCTTGCAGCATGCTGTAATTACTTTTCTTTTTCTGCACTTTCCATTTTTCTGGGAGCTGATAACTGTCTGATTTTATGTTTTCTATGTTCTTATCACTAATTCAACCACAAAGTTCTCTGACAATTATCTAAATCTCCCTTCATTACATTGATGCAAGAAGTATTCTATCGATATCATTTTCTTAAACAAACCTCTCTTTACTCTTTCACCTGATTGATAGTTAAGCTAGCTATAATATTCTTGGCTAGAGATAATTTTCCTTCAGAATTTTGAAAGATACAATGCCATTGTACTCCTCCAGTAATTCTGATAAGAAACTTGAAGTCATTACGATTTCTGTTCCTTTACATGTGACCTATTTTCTCTTTCTGGAAGTTTCATACACCTTCTCTGTCCTAAGGTTCTGTAACTTTCTGAAGATATGCTTTTGTGCAGATCTATTTTCATCAGTTTTGATGGGTGTTAACTAGGTGGTCCTTTTCAGCCTGGAAAAGCATGACTACTGTCTTGATATTTTTTCCTATTATGATTTTCTCCAGCCCTCTGACCTTTTCTAAATTTTCTTTCTTTCTGGAACTCCTTTTATTCAGATACTGTACCTATGAGACCAGTCCTGTAATTTTTTTTTTTTTTTTTTTTGACATGGAGTCTCGCTCTGTCACCCAGGCTGGAGTGCAGTGGCGTGATCTCGGCTCACTGCAAGCTCTGCTTCCTGGGTTCACGCCATTCTCCTGCCACAGCCTCCTGAGTAGCTGGGACTACAGGCGCTGCCACCATGCCTGGCTAATTTTATTTTTGTATTTTTAGTAGAGACAGGGTTTCACCATGTTAGCCAGGATGGTCTCGATCTCTTGACCTCATGATCCACCCGTCTTGGCCTCCCAAAGTGCTGGGATTACAGGCGTGAGCCACTGCACCTGGCCAATTTCCTTTTTTTTTTTTTTAAATCTCCTATTTTCTAATCCTTTATCTTTTTGCTACACTTTCTGGGAGATTTCTTCCACGTTATTTTCTAACTCTCTTTGTCCCTAATAATGCTTTTCTTGCTTAAGGTCTAGTTTGCTTAATACTATTATAGCTAAATTTGCTTTTGTATGGTTGGTGTGTATTTGATCCGTATATTTCTGGATATATATTTTATGAGTAGTGTATAGATTCTGAAAGTCTCTTTAACAGGCAAGTTTAATCTGTTTACATTGATTGTGATTAATTACGTTTTGATTTACTTAGTACATCTTATTTTCTATTTTTAAATGCCTTTTCTTACCTTTGTGTTTTGGTGTTTTCTTTTTCCTTTTGTTTTTCCAGGTTTTGGATTGATTGAACTTTCCTTTAATCTCTTGGATTCCTCCTACTGGTTTGGAATTTTTTCTGTTAATCGATTACTCTTACATTTTTAACATCAGTGTTTGACTTAACAGATTCCAGAAGCTTCTAAGTATCTTTACCTTTCTTCATTTGATTCAAGGACTTCTGTTCCCCTTCATCTTTCAAATTATTATTGTCTTTTATTTTGGATCTACATTATTTTTAATTTTTTCCTTTTAATATGTGATTGTTTTATTAATATTTAATTGTCAATTCTTATTTAGATTTATCCACACGTTTATCGGCTTCTTCATTCATACTATTTTATGCATTCTTTGCCTTTTTTCTGGGTCAGTTCCTATAGATTGGCTCTTTATTACCCCTTATTATAACATTCACCTTTCTGGAACATATTTCTTTCAGGAAGCCTGCCTGCATCATTCCCAAGCAGCTTTAATTAATATCTTCACCATATTTCATGTTCACTTATGTATATGTATGCGCCTTAATATAGTTAAAAATATTTTTTTCTTTTGTTGATTTGTGTGTGTTCATAAGCACTATATCAGCTGTTGGATGTTCTGGAGTCTTGTGCCTTGTCTAGGACATGTTTGTTTTGAGACTTTGAGAGGGTTACTCTGGTTCTCAGTTTCCATGATGTAAAACAAGGAAAGGAGTGTATAGCTAAATTACTTATATCACAAGGTGATTATAAGGAATAAATGGGAAAAGGGATACTAATATATTTTGCTTGTAGAATTCTGCAAATCTGGTGGGGTATTATTATTTCATTTGTATGTGTTTGTTTCCTCAGCTGGATTATAAATCCTGTGATGGTGAAGAATGTGTCTTCCATCTCCTTGGTATTTCTTCATTGCTCTTAAGGCATACTGGTGACTTATTGACCTGAAGCAGTAAAATGTTAGCAAGGTTTTAGTAAATTGCACAATGACATAAAAATAAAATAGAACTTAGACCTGAAGAGGAAGTACATTAATGGTGACTTGGGAATAAGAAAGAATATGAGTCTGAAAATTACGATATAATCCTTTTACATGATGTAAGTGCAGAATGACTTAGAAGACTTAATAACGTTCTTTATTTTCAAGATTGTCGACACGCTCTCTGAAGGTAGTTTGGTTTACTAGGAATTCATGAACTGAATATGTGATTCTTTAAGAAAATTGTGAGGCAGAAAAGACAGATTCCATTAAAGAAGGCATTCTGTTTGAAAAGAAGGAACATAAATTTTCTAAAAGCTGTAAACAGAGGGTAAAAGAATGTTGTCACTAAGAATCCAAAGAATAGGATTGAGCTTCTTTGTAGTATGCATTTGAATACAGCTTTGGGAGGTTCAGGGAGCTTGATTTTGGGGAGATTAGAGGGAGTTGAGCCATAGAACATCATCAAAGATGGAGCAGCTGCAGATAACACGCTGTTTGGTAGCATAGGAGGATTCAGGAAATATGAAACATGGGGAATTTTGATGATAATGAGTAGTCTTAATAAGTGATAAACATAAAAACTAGGTCAAAAATGAAATTGGGAAAAGATAACTCATGCATTGCTTTAGGAGAAAGAATGAATAGAACAATGACTGCTAAGTGGAAGTATATAAATACTTTTAATTTTCAGAAAAGTTTATGGAAGATAATTTTCTAAATTATTGTTTTGTCATGAATTATGCTTGTCAAGCTGCCACATGCATCATTTCACTTTATCCTGTATAATTACGTTAATAATTTTTATTTCTGATCTAGTCATTAAAACAAGAACAGGAAATCAGGAAGGCTAATTATGCTTCTAGACTTCAGTAACTTCTGTCAGCTTAGAATCCTCTTTTTCCCTTTTGCTTGCCATCTCAGACCTTCTACAAAGAATAACATGTTAGAAATTGTTATTTAATATAGTTGGCTTGCCATTACCTTTTCATTAAAGTGTATAGATAATTTAAAATAATACTTCAGTGGTATAACTAGGATATACCTAATTTTTCTGTTTGTTTTCCTAGTTTTAATCTTATTAAATCCATATAAATACTGCCTGTCTAAGTTTGTTATGTGCTGCCATAGCAAAATACCACAGGTTGGGTCATTTATGAAGAACAGGAACTTATTTCTCACAGCTCTGGAGACTAGGAAGTCCAAGGCACTGGCATGTGGTGTCCTGTGGGGGCTGTCCTCACATGGTGGAAGGCAGAAGAGCAAACAAGACAAATGTGTCTTCATGTAGCAGAAGACAGCACACCGCTTCTGCAAGCCCTTTTTATAGCAGCATTAATCCATGCATGAGGGCAGATCCCTCATGACCTAAATACATTCTATTTGTCTTCATCTCCCAACATTATTGCATTGAGGATTAAGTTTTAACATATATATTTGAGGGGACAAACCAATCAAACCATAGCGCTACCCAATCCTTCTTGGAATTAGTTGATTTTTCTTTTCACTGTGATTCACAGCTGATGATAGCATGCCAACATTAAGTCCTAAGCAATCTGCTTTTAAATCTAACTTTGTAAAGAGTGTGAGCCTTTTTAAAAATAGACTTTAATTTTTAAGACCGCTTTTAGGTTTGTAGCAAAATTGAGGAGGTGCAGAGATTTCCCATGTACTGTACCCTTTGCTCCCAAACATGCATAGATTCTCCCACTATGGAAATCCCACACCAGAGTGGTACATCTGTTACAATTGATGAACCTACTTGAATACATCATTATCACCCAAAGTTGATCGTTTCTAGTGGCTTTCACTCTTGATTTTGTACATTTAATGGGTTTGGACAGAAGTATGATGACAAGTATCCTCCATTACAGCATCACACAGATTAGTTTTACTGTCTTAAAATTTTTTTCATGCTCTGCTTATTCTTTTCTCCTTCTCTGCTTATCCGTGGCAACCACTGATCCTTTGTGTCTCCATAGTTTTGCCTTCTCTAAGTGTCATATAGTTAGAATCAGATAGTTTGTAGCTTTTTCATATTGGCTTCTTTCTCTTAGTAATAGGCATTTAAGGTTCCTCTGTGTTTTTTCAAGGCTTGATAGCTCATTTTTTTTTTCTGTGCTGAATAACATATCATTGTCTGGATGTATCACAGTTTATTTATTCATTCACCTACTGAAGAACATCTTGGATGCTTCCAAGTTTTGCAAAATTATGAATAAAGCTGCTATAAACATTCATGTGCAGGTTTATATGTGGACATAAGTTTTAAACATATTTGGGTAAATACCAAGAAACATGATTGCTGAATCATATGGTAAGACTATGTTTACTTTTGTAAGAAACTTTCAAACTGTCTGTTTTCCAAAGTGGCAGCACCATTATGTATTCCCATCAGCGATGAATGAGAATTTCTGTTGTTCCACATCCTTGCCAACACTTGGCGGTGTTAGTATTTTGGAGTTTGACTATTCTAACAGGTGTGTAGTGGTATCTGTTTAAATGTATCTCTTTTGATGTTTTAAAATTTTCAATTGACAAATGGCATATATTGCTGAACACCTTTTCATATGCTTAATTCTCATAGGAATATCTTCTTTGGTAAGATGTGTGTTCAGATCTTTTGTGCATTTTTTTAATTGTTGTTTTAAGAGTTCTTTTTAGTTTTTAGATGATAGTACTTTATTAGATGTCTTTTGCAAATATTTTCTCTCAGTTTGTGGCTTGTCTTCTCATTCTTTTGACTGTGACTTTTGCAGAGCAGAATTTTACATTTTAATGAAGTCCAGCTTATCAATTATTACTTTCATGGATTGTGCCTTTGGTGTTGTATCTATAAAGTCATTGTCATACTCAAGGTCATCTAGATTTTCTCCTGTGTTGTCTTCCATAAGTTTTATAGTTTTGCATTTTTTATTTTATATGATTCATTCTGAGTTAAATTTTGTGAAGGGTGTAGGGTCTGTGACTAGATTCACTTTTTTTTTTAATTTGGCTATCCAGTTGTTTCATCACTATTTTTTGAAAAGACTATGTTTGTTCCATTGCATTGCCTTTTTGCCTTTGTCTAAGATTTATGCCTATATTTATGTGGGTCTATTCCTGGATTCACTATTCTGATCAGTTAATCTATTGTCTATTTTTTCTCCAATACCATACTCTCTTTATTGCTATACTTTTATAGTTAGTCTTAAAGTCATATAGCATCAGTCTTCTGACTTGGTTCTTCAACTTCCATATTGTAGTGGCTATTTTGAATTTTTTGCCTGTCTATATAAGCTTTAGAATCAGTCTACTTGTATCAACAAAATAACCTGCTAGGTTCTTAATTGGATTTTTGTTGTCTCTAGTTCATTTTGAGAAGAACTGACATCTTGACAATATTGAGTCTTACTATCCATGAACATGAAATATCTCTTCATTTATTTAGTTCTTCTTTGATATATTTCATCAGTTTTGTAGTTTTCCTCATAGATCATGTGCACATTTTATTAGATTTATATTTAAGTATTTTGGGGAGGGCTAAAGTAAATGGCATTATGGTTTTTTATTTCAAATTCCACTTGTGCCTTGCTGGTATACAGAAAAGCAATTGCCTTTTGTGTATTAACCTTGTAACCTGGAACCTTGCTATAATTACTTATGAGTTTCATGGTTTTTGGTCAATTTATTCATATTTTCTACATAGATAATCATCTCATCTCATGGATAATCATCTGTGAACAATGACATTTTTATTTCTTCCTTCCCAGTAAGTATACCTTTTCTTGTTTTATTGCATTAGCTAGAATTTCCATGATGAGTTTGAAAAGAAGTGATGAGAGGGAACATCTTTGCCTCGTTCCTGATCTTAATAGGAAAGCTTCTAGTTTTTCATTCTTGAGTATGATGTTAGTTGTAGGGTTTTTTTTTTCTTTTTTTTGGTAGATGTTCTTTATCATGTTGAAGAATTTCCTCTCTACTTGTAGTTTGTTGAGAGTATTTTATCATGAATCGATGTTGGAGTTGTTAAATGATTTATCTACATCCATTGATATGATCATGCCATTTTCCTTTAGCTTGTTGATGTTATGGATTACATTAACTGACTCTCAAATGTTGCACCAGCTTTGCATACCTAGAACCAAATCCAGTTGGTCACAGTGTATACTTTTTAAAATACATTGTTAGATTAAATTTTTTTAAATCAAATATTAACAAAACATTTTGTTGAGAATTTTTACATCTATGTTCATGAGAGATATTAGTTTGTACTTTTCTTGTAATGTCTTTGTCTGGTTTTGGTATTGGGGTAATGCTGGTCTCATAAAATGCACAAGAAAGTATTCTTTCTGCCTCTACCTTCTGGAAAACATTGGAGGAAATTGGTATAATTTATTCCTTAAATGTTTGATAAATTTCACTTGTGAACCTATCTGGGCCTAATGCTTTGTGTTTTAGAAGGTTATTAATTATTGATGCAATTTCTTTAATAGATGTAGTTCTATTCAGATTATTTTTTTTCTTGTGTGGGTCTTAGCAGATGTGTCTTTCAAGGATTTGATTTATTTCATTATCAGATTTATCAAATCTGTGGGCAGAGTTGTTCATAGCATTTCTTAATTATCCCTTTAGTATTCATGGAATTTGTAGTAGTGTCCCCTCTTTTATTTCTAATATTAGTAATTTGTATCTTCTCTCTCTCTTGTTTCGTTAGCCTGACTAGAGGCTTATTGATTTAATTTTTTTTTTTTTTTTTTTTTTTTTTTAGACGGAGTCTCACTCTGTCACCCAGTCACCCAAGCTGGAGTGCAGTGGCGCAGTCTCAGCTCACTGCAACCTCTGCCTCCCAGCCTCAAGTGATTCTCATGCTACAGGCGCATGCCACCACGCCTGGCTAATTTTTTGTATCTTGATAGAGACAGGGTTTCACCGCGTTGCCCAGGGTGGTCTCGAGTTCCTGAGATCAGGTGATCTGCCTGCCTCAGCCTCCCAAAGTGCTGGGATTCCAGGCATGAGCCACTGCGCCCAGCCAAAAAAAAAAAAAAAAAAAAAATTAATTTTATTTTAAGTTCTGGGATACACGTGCAGGACAGGCAGGTCTGTTACAGAGGTAAACCTGTGTCATGGTGGTTTGCTGCACCAATCAATCCATCACCTAGGTATTAAGCCCTGCATGCGTTAACTGTTCTTCTTGATGCTCTCCCTCCCCGTCCCTGGCAGCCCCCCATCAGGCCCCAGTGTGTGTTATTCCCCTCCCTGTGTCCACATGCTCTCATTATTCAGCTCCGACTTATGAGTAAGAACATGTGGTGTTTGGTTTTCTGATTTTTAAAATCTTTTCAAAGAATTAGCTTTTGGCTTTGTTGATTTTTAAAAATTTATGTCCTATTTTCAATTTCATTTATTTCTGCTTTAATTTTTATGATGGCTTTTCTTTGACTTACTTTGGATTTCTGGTTTGCAAAGGTGAAAGTATAGATTATTGATTTTAGATTTTTCTTCTTTTCCAGCATATGTATTCAAAGCTGTAAATTTCCCTGTAAGCACTGATTTTGTGATCTCCTATCCTACGCATTGTTAAATTGTATTTTCATTTTCGTATAGTTCAAATTATTTTAAATTTCTTTTGAGATTTCTTCTTTGACTCGTGTTATTTAAAAGTGTGTTATTTAATCTCCAAGTGTTTGGGTATTTTTCAGATATTGTTCTGTTATTGATTTCTAATTTAATTCCATTGTGACCTGAAAGCAGACATTGTATGATTTCTATTCTTTTAATACATATAGTGATTCTAATAACAATTTGAAAATCATTTATATTTATATTGGATTTATATTTATATTGAGTATTGGATTACTCGTCTTTCATCTATAGGCTCAGAGAAGGTGTGTTGGTGACCCTATTTGGCATCCTTTAATTGTACTTCAGGTAAATAATTCAAATCCAGCAAAGATCTTTAGAGAGCTAATGGTTAGGTATTATGCTTGTTTCTGGAAGAATCTCCAAAGCAGACACTCTGTCTCTCTAACTCATCTTGGATTTGTATACCTACCAAGATGCCTGACATCTAATTGCCAGCCTACAAATATTTCTATTGAAGTGAATGAGGCATACCACATTTCCTAACTATACATGCTTTTTGTTAATAATGGGAAAGATAAGGCCAGAGGGAAACCTTTGTGACATAATCTTAGCTGTGCTCTAAACTCTTTCTTCTCACAGACTATAGGGCATATCCTTTGACCACTATGTTCACATTTCCTCTCATGAGTTGCTTTCCATGAGTATTCTTTTGCTGTCATGTAAATAATCCTCCAGTCAGATGACCTACCCTACCAGCTTTCCATACATGTTTAAGGATTACCCTAGGGTTAAGCCTCCAAGCTGTGATCTCCCACTGGGAGTGCAAAGTATTGTGGACAAATAAATACAAATAAATACAAAGATGAACAAGACACAGTCTCTGAACAGATATCTACTTTCTACTTTGAGGGAAAGACTTTCTCACAAACTATTTGCAGGTGTAAATAAAAGAGGGGTCAGGGTGAAGGAAGAGATAGGGAAAAAATTTGGAGAAAGGGTAAGAGTCAGCCTCAAGTTCCAAATTGGAGCATGATGGCTGTCATCTAAGCTTTTAAATTCTATTCCTGGTGGGCATTGGTAGAGAATGTTATCATGGTTGGGTAATACACAGCTTTAAAGATAGACTTCCTTAGATTTGAAAAGTTTGGTGATGTTGCAGGAACATTCTTTTGCATGAATTTCCAATGAGACAAAGCAGTCTGTCTAACTGAGGGAATTAGCTTTGAGAGGAAAGGAAATAACAAGCAATGAGGATAGCATTGAGCTTCCTTTATTTGATTTTCTTGTTTACATAAAAATTTTTTTATCTGTACTGATCTTCATTCATGATAAATTGTTCCTATTGTTAAGCATCAGGGGATGATTCTAACATAGAGGCAAAGAAGGTTGAAATATATTGGAATTTGTATGTTACAGCTAACTCTTAAACAGTTTTTACCTTAACTACTTATGAATACTTGCATAGAGGTTACTGTTTATTGTCTTTCTGTGCAATAATTATCCCCATGCTTGAGAAATCATAGTTTTGTTACTCTGCTTTTGGGGAAGCTCCAGTGGAGTTCATCCCTACTTCATTTAGCCTTTTTAATACTTCATTTTATTCCCTAATGTCCCTGCTTTCACACAACACACACTAACTTATAAAGAATATGTTTGTCTTTGTATTGAATTTCTTCATCTTTAAGAAGTGTTGTTTATATTTAGGTAAAGGGTTAACAAAATTATTTTTTCTTCTGCTTGAGAATTTGACCTTTGGCTAGCAGTCTTCCTTTGCTTCCCTGGGAACTGATGAAGGGAACATGTCATTTATGTTTCTAGGCAATATTACTTATGTTTAGAAAAAAAGGGCTGGGCATGGTGGCTAATGCCTGTAATCTCAGCACTCAGGGAGGCAGAGGAAGGAGGATTGCTTGAGCCCAGGAGTTTGAGGATAGCCTGGGCAACATACTAGGACCCCATCTCCACAAAAAGGAAAAAAAAATTCCCTCATCAGTAAATTGCATCTAGACTGTGAGGAACTTTTAATAAACTATAAATAACTTGATAAGGACACCATAGCTTATGGGTTCCTTGAATGATGGAGCTTTCAGAGTTCCATCAGATATGAGCATATCTCTTGTGGGACTCTGAAACTGCCTGTGGCATTGTTATTAGAAGTATTAGATTAGGTAGAGCATGAGGCTGTCAAAAGCTACATCCCCAAACATTACCAACACAACCTGTTAAAAAGACAAAGCTGAGTTGAATTTATTGCTTACCACGGTAAAAGGGAACACTGCCATGCAAAGCTCTAGTAGTGTACTCAGAGCAGGAAAGAAAAGGACAGAATGGATTAAGAATCGAAAGTTTGATATAAGGTAGGTTTTTAAAAACAGGGAGTGGCTAGGGGAGTGGGCTTTATTAGAACTGGGTAAAGTTCAAGAATATGATACAATAGCACAGGATTGGAGGAAACAGCAAGGCAAGGATTTTGAAGGAAAGAATTCAAAGAATCTTAGGACATAAACTGTCTGCAGATACTTTTCACTAAAGAGTTAATAGGTCTTTGCAAAGTTCGTGTAATAAAAAAATCAAACCATTTATCTGAGCAGGAGAGTCCTGGAGAAAGAAGGTCCTGCTAAGGGAGACAGAACAATAGTCCAAAGTCGTGTTAATGTAGACAGTAAGATAGAGTTTTAGTTTTCAGTGTCCAGAATGAGTGAGAGTAGTGGTGATGGTGAGATTAGACTATTTCTCAAGGCTTTTAAGTCAAGATGGCTCCAGTACTTGCTGACTGAGTCTTATTTTCTCACTTTTAAGTTGTCTTCTTGGGGAGACTGGGGACAGGGAGCATAGCTCTTTGGACTGCTACACAAACTACTATGAGGTCTATGCCCATGGAAGAGGATGCTAATACTGCCCTTTTGATGAGCAGTGATTTCTATTCTGTGCCCTTCTGAGTCTACTGATAAATAAGCATGATCGATGATAGTAGTGTTTGAATGTTTAGTTGATCAGTATTGCAGATACAAATACAGAGTTTATGATCAAATGCCCAGTGTGCACTTTCAGAAGATGCTAGTTTCCATTGTCATTTGTTTGTTTTTGGGTAATTGTGTCAGGAAAAATCAGTCATCTTCAGTTACATTCACATTTATACACAGGATTACACTGAGTTGTGAATGGCCTTACTCAAAAACTTTTACAGATGTTGCAATTGTCCTGGTCACAGTAAATTAAGAGGTCTATATCATGGAAACCAGTGCAAAAATTATTTTACCATAGATTACAGATTTTTAGATTTGCTCAATTTTATGTTCAATATGATGCTACTGGAATTTTAGAATCACTTCTTCTTGTCTTCAATATTGAAATCTAACAAGTTTTAAAAAAGAACATCTATTTAATGACATCTTACCTATGATGGCAAAGAAAGTAATTATTTTTAGGAAATACACAGTATCCATGTACAGAAGCCTGCCAGTACATATGGTAAACATATCACTAGGACTGATCACTAGATCAATTGTTAAATTTCTGCTCTTTAGTGTTATGAATGACTGTGTATTTGGTTTGACTTCTGAGGTGTGGTGGTACATTGAGAAATATACAGGGATGGCTCTCTTAGTCCATTATGTGTAGCTATAACAGAATGCCTGAGGCTGGGTAATTTATAAAGAAAAGAAGCCTATTTAGCTCACAGCTCTGCAGGTTAGGAAGTTCAAGAGCATGGCCCTGGATTCTGATGAGGGTTTTCATGCTGCATCATAACCTTGTGGAGAAAGTCAAAGGACAAGCAGACATATGAGGAGAGACAAAACCCAAACAGTGTCCTGGCTCTAGAAAAATCTACCATTGCAGGAACTTATCCATTCCTTTAAGAATGAATCCAGTCTTGCCAGAGTGAGAACTCACCCACTACCATGAGAATGGTATGAAGACGTTCATAAGAGATTCACTCCCATGACTCAAACACCTCCCACTAGGCCCCATGTTCCAACACTACCACATTGGGGATCAAATCTCAACTTGAGTTTTGGTGGGACAAACCACATGCAAACTACAGCAACGACATAAGAAGGATTTATTCTTCTCTGAATGTCATCCTTTAAATGAAAAAAACAAATCCCTTACTTGATTTTATGCATCTATTCACCTCTCTCTCTCTATATATATATTGAGGTACTCCTTTATTATAAGTATTGGGGAATCTGGCAGTGAACAAGCACACAAATCCTTCCCTATCTTCATAAAACTGTTAAAGAGAAATTGCACCAGACATTTGTTGAAAACAAAGACTTTATTCAAGACCGTTGCAATAGTAGAGAGAGATTTTTGCACTAGGGGAGAGGGATTGGACTCAACTTTGTTGAAACAAGTGTAGAGATGTTGGTCAATATGATTAGGTCATCTAATCATTTGATAATTGGTGCTTATCAAAGTTTGACATCTACCCTCCTACAGACATTAGGAAATAGAGGCACTATCTTTCTTGATGATTATATTCCAAAGGAATAGCCCACAAGTCTTTGAGAAAGACATTCCTGGGTTATAAAATTGGCAAGAGGCTGGGAGATTTTCCTCTGAAAGAGGCAGAGAAAGAATTTACGATAGAAAGTTTCTTAAATAAATGTTCTAAGAAAAGGGAAGTCAGGATCCTAGACTTAGGAAGAAGCCAAGTTAAGGTCATCTTGGTCAGAGTTAATATTCTGGTGGGGGAAAAACAGACAGTAAGTATATGTGGACAGTTTAAATTGTGTGTGTGTGTGTGTCTGTGAGTATAATTTCAGCTAGTGATATGCTCTACAAATAAAAATAATACAGGGGCAATAGGATATAGATAATGACTGGGGTGATGAGGAGGTGAACATGTTGGAAAGCATGTAATGGGCTAAATGCCGCTGTTAGGTTAGGATTTCTTTTTAGTTGCAAAGGAAAGAGATTCAAGTGACCTCAAGTGATGGAAGATTTAGTATAAGGATGGATATTTTTCAGCACATAGCACAAATAACAGTGGTACCTTAGAACCTAATGTATGGCCCTAGACCAAGATTGCTCTGGGGAACTTGGCCCAAGGCAGAGCCAATTTCTAATATTAGGGAAGTGAGCCTGAAAAAAGGAAGGAGCTGAGCCAAAGTATAGGGAAGTGAGGAAAAAGAAAATGGAGCTACTCTTTGAACTCCTTCTTCATGTATCTCACAGTCTTTCATTGACATTGTTTTCTCCAGTATCATTTTCTTATAGCCTTAACATTCCATATGATCACATATGGTCATTAAAATTGTTGAAAAAAGGGATATTTTAGAAAATTATTTTGGAGGACATGACTGCTTACTGTTCTAGCTATTTTCTTAGGGTTTGTAGATCTTTAGTTGAGTTTCCCACCACTAATGTGACTCACTGACTCTGTCTGTATGCTTTTCTCTCTTGACTGAATTTCTTAGCATGCTTGTTAATTTCATCTCAACTTAACTGGACCTTGGGGTATTCAGATTACACATTGTTACTGGGTGTATCTGTTTCTTGCTGAGAATAGCACTTGGATCAGTACATTCAGTAAAGCAGATTGTTCTCCCCAATGTGGATGGGCATTATCCAATCTGTTGAGGGCCTGAATAGAAAAAGAGATGGAAGAAGGAGGAATTCTCTCCTTTTTTCTGCCTTACTACTTGATCTGGAACATCTCATCTCGTCTTGCTTTTGGACTGGAATTTACACCATTGGCCTGGTTCTTAGGTCTTTGGACTTGAATTGCAATATCGGCTTTCTTGGGTCTCCTGGTTGCAGATGGCAGACTGTGGAACTTCTCTGCCTCCATAATCATTTGAGCCCATTCCTCACAATACATCTCTCTCTCTTCCTAAATATCAACATCTATATACAGTTATTCCCTTTTACCCATGGGTATGCATTCCAAGACCCCCAGTGGAGGCCTGAAACCACAGATGGTACTGAACCCTATATATACTATGCTTTCTCCTATACAGACGTACCTATGATAAAGTTTAATTTATAAATTAGGCACAGTAAGAAATAAACAATATAACAACATAGAAGAATTACTATAATGTACTGTAATAAAAGTTATGTGAATGTGTTTGCTCTCTTCCAAAACATCTCATTGTTACTATACTCACCCTTTTTCTTACGATGATGTGAGATGAAAAAATGCCTACATGATGAGATGAAGTAGGGTGAATGATGTAGGCATTGTGACCTAGCTTTAGGCTACTATTGACCTTCTGATAATATATCAGAAAATGATTACATTCTTCAGGTGATCCTGGATCATCAAGCCATGAACATTAATGGTTGAATGTCAGGAGCAGGAGCAGATAATGTCAATATTAGGGATCCTTGATAGTTGAAGGTTATTTTTTGCTGAAACCTTTGGGAAGAACACTGTAGTTGGAAATTATTGTCTCTTTTAAACTCATTAAAATGTTGCTATAGAAATTGTATTCCTTCATTGATCATATAGGAGACTTTAGTGCTTTGTTTCATCTGTGGATCATATTCCATAATTCTGTCCATTATTGTCTGTACAATTTGAAACACTTCAGCAACTTTCCATAGTATCCACATTGCTAGTTCTGCTTCACTTCTTCTTCCTCTGTAGGTGACTCAACAAGTTCTTCTAGTTTCTCATTTGTTAGCACTTCTGATGACCTTCAATATGTTCTTCCACTTCATCAAGTATGTTGGCATATTCTTCTTCACTAACTTGTCTTGCTGTGTGAATTATTTTCTTAGCTTCTCCATTGATCCCCAGGAAGCCTTTAAAATCATTCATGACTTCAATCCATAAGTTCTTCCAGCAGGTATTTGCAATTTCTGGTTTTAATTAATCCATTGCAGTTTTGATGAACGCTATTGCATCAGAGATAGTGAATGATTTCCAGCATTTTTTTATATCTGGATTAGGGTCTGCATTAATTGCTGATCAAATGCAATCAAATATCAGGCAGGCGCGTGTGGCACTGATAAACCAAATGATGTCCTGGTCAAAGGGCTGAAACAAGGAGGTTGTATTTGAAGGTAAAAATACAACCTCAACATTTTCATTTTCATAGAAGATTCAGGATGGCTGGGTGCCTTCTCATCTCCATCTCCATCTTCATCTCCATCCCTGTCCCTGTATCCATCTCCATCTGCACATCCATCTCCATCTCCATTTCCATCTCTATCTTCTCTCCATCTCCGTCTCCATCTGCATCTGCATCTGCATCTCCATCTCCATCTGCATCTCCATCTGCATCTGCATCTCTATCTGCATCTCCGTCTCCATCTGTAACTCCATCTGCATCTCCATCTGCATCTCCATCTCCATCTCCATCTCCATCTGCATCATCTCCATCTCCATCTCCTTCTGCATTTGCATCTGCATCTGCATCTCCATCTGCATCTCCATCTCCATCTCTATCTGCATCTCCATCTCCATCTCCATCTGCATCTGCATCTCCATCTCCATCAGCATCCCCATCTCCATTTCCATCCCCATCCCTGTATCCATCTCCATCTGCACCTCCATTTCCATATCTCCATCTCCATATCTCCATCTCCATTTCCATTTTCATGTCCATCATGTCCTGTTAGTCCTGTTTCTCTGGAGAGCCCTGACAAATTCACTTAGTCTTTCTTCTCTTTTGCTTTGTCTCTTTGCTTACATAGCCCATCATGGCCACTTCAGTCTTACTCTGCTTCAACTCTCATTGCCTGTTACCTCATTCCCTCAGCATTTCTTGGACTAATTATTTATGCTATAAAACAAGAGTCTTAACTTTCAGGGTTGGGGATAGTTAGGAGAAGTGTCTCTGAGGGGGTTACATTTTTAAGCCCAGTCCTGAGAGATGCATAGGAATTCACCAGACAAAAGAAACGGTTGGTGGGTAGGGAGATTGTTTTAAACAGCATGTTTGGAGATCTCCTAGGTGAGAAAGAATATATTTTTAAGGTAGGAAAGAAGTCCTATATGACAGAGTGTAGAGAGCAGAAGACAGATGCTCAAGGTGAGTCTGAAGAGGTAGGCAGGGGTAGGTTGTGTTAAGGAGTTTGGGTTTTATTCTAAAGGCAGCAAGAAATTATTGAAGAAGGATTTAAAGCATCCCCAATTTGGTTTGCTTGTACACATATCATAATGTTTGGAAAAAAATCAGGGCTTTAGGCAATACACCTCTTCATAGGGTACATATTTTGATCAAGCTTTATATTCACTGTGGACCCAGTGGATATGAAAATGAAAGTCTTTTCTACAAAAAGAAGCATATTAAAAGTTACTACATTATGGATATTGCTGAAAATAAGTGCCTATTCTTTGTCTGTCTGTCTGGCCATTTATGCCACTGTGTTTCAATTAGAATATGAATTGGCTAATACAGGTTTTATGCACAAGTTATTTAAATTCAGATCTTCTACAGAAGGATGCTAGCTAATCCATGGAGTAATTAGGATTATTTCCCCGTAGAGCTCTTGGTAGCTTGAGTTGGAGCAGTGAATTCTGAATAGGAAAAAGCAATGTAACTTGTTATCTGGGTTAGAGGTTCAGATAACAAATGTAGTTTGCAATTTTTTTTCTGTCTTTAAATTGCACTCTACAAAAGGAAATGGAAATGGACTATGTAATCATTCATGTATAAAATCTATTTAGAATAAGGGCCCAATGCTTATGAAACAGAGCTTATTACTGTTTTGTGGTTTCTATCCAGTTGCCTGATATGGTACTACCTGTGAAAATTAAGCAGCTATTAATTATTGATTATGGTATCAGTGCTGGAGGAATCAGAAATTATTATGAGAGATTTATATATTGGTTAGGTTATTCTTTAATTAATGTTTTCATTCTTTAAATCACTAGGTTCCCAAGAGTGCTAGAGTGTGCTAGGGATAAAAGAATGAGCAAAACATGATACACATGCACAATCACAAAGAGACAAGTGTCATGAAGGGAATGTACATGGTCCTTTGAGATTATATAATGAAATGACCTGATCTAGATCAGAAAGTGAAAGTTCCCTAAGGAAGCAATAACTGAGCTATAATTTAAAGTATGGATAGAGCCAACTAGGCTGAGGAATGGGCAAGAAAGAATTATAGAACATTCCATTTACAAAGAACAGCAAGTGCATAATCCCTGTGTTCGAGGGAGAATGACATATTCAAAGAATTGAAAATTGGATGGAGAGTGAGCAGAAGAGAACGGAGCTAGAGTGGTAAGCCTGGACCCGACTGTGCAAGGCTGTATAAACAAAACAGATTTTAGAACAGTGGGAAGCTATGAGATAATTTTAAACTAGCAGTGATTTTGAAGAGGTAACTCTTATGCAGTGTTCAGAACAGATTGAATAGGTTTAAACAAATGCCTTGACAGTTAGGAAACTCCCGTAGATAGAGGAGAGAGATGCTGTTAGTGTGATCTAAGGTGATGACAGTGGAGGTGGTGAGAGGTAGATAAATTTGAGAGATAGGAGTTAAAATTATGTATTGATAAAAACATTATTACTACAAATATTTAAAAATAATGGAAACTGATTCAGAACAAGTTTCAAAATCTAACTACCAGTTTGCAGGAAAGTGGGAGGACAGAGGATTATACTAGTGACACCATAATGATGCAAACATCAGAATTCAGAATTTAGGAAACTCTATAAGACAAACAATCTGTTTTTTTATATAAATAAATTTGACTTCAACAGATTAAAAAAAGGAGAGGGAAATGTGTAGATTAAGAGACACATTAACAAAGCACAAAGTGTGGACCTTCTTTGGTCCTAATTCTAAGAAACCAGCTGGAGAGAGGGTGGGCATTGAGTGGACTGGATATTTGCTGATTTTGAGAAATCATGTTAGGTTTTATCAGGTGTGATAATGGGTGATAGTTTTGTTGAATTAAAAAATATGTTGTCTTTTAGAGACATACCCTGAAATATTTATGGACAAAATTATACATTTTGGATTTGCTTCAAAATAATCCAGTGGGGCCAGGAGTTTGCTGTTAAAAGAGAGATGTAGAAGAAACAAGGGTGGTGATAAGTTAATAATTACTCTAGCCGAGTTGTGGGTAAATGGGGGAATTATTATGCTATTTACCTGTTTTTTTGTATGTTTGAGTTTTTCCATGATAAAATATTGTTCTAAAATGAATAGGATTTTAAGGTAGGTTGGGTGAGGTGATGTTAGAGAAAGGGATGGCAAGGATGCTTCTTGGTTTCTGATTTGCTTAGTCACATAGCTGATTTAGGAGGGTGAGGGGGTATGTTAATTTTTTTTGCTTAATGAGAGGGACATGAGATGTTTAAATATCTATGGGAAAGGTGTAGTTGAAGAGGGTATGGATGGAGTTTTGAGTAGAGTAGAGAAGGCTTGAAATATAGTGAGCAGGTAAATTTACAAGAAAAACAGGAAACTTGCTAGGTAGTTGACAGATGCATTGAAAGTGATGGTAATGAATTTATAGTGGAACCCACTGTATAACTGTCTTGAGCAGTTCATAATACAGTTGTGAAGAAAGCTGGTAATTGAGCCAGGACTTGAATTTTGATAGTGGGCATAATGAAGAGACAGTGATGCTAAGCAATTTAGGGTGTTGATGTTATTGAAATTATGGGATTATATAAGAAAAAAGGTAGAGAATGAAGAGGGTTAATACATTGGGGAAAGGACTACAGGTTCAGTAAGGATAAACTACTTTTGCAGTTGGTGTAATTGGGCCATTGATCTTGACAGAGAAGCAGCCATGATCAGATAGCAGGATGATTCAATTCAAAATTTCAGAGCTGGAGAAAGTTTTGGAATATAACAAATTTTAGATTTTGATCATGAAAGTGGGTGTCTGAGGAGAAGTAGAAAGGTTGTTGGAGATGGATTGGTGAAGAAACTCCAAGGCCAGGCTATTGGAAGGCTCACCTCCATGGATATCACCCAAGGTGATGTTAAGTTTTAGGTGAGATTGGCTTTTAGAAATATTTATAAGATTTATGAAGTAATAACTTGGAGTTCTTTATTCTCATGAAGTATTTGTTGGCGTCAATCCATGCAAAGCATAATAGCAACATATTTCTGAATATAACAGATAAATAACACCCAACAATTGTATATTAAATCTTACTTTACACACCCATATCTTTCCTATTTGGGATAATGTTGTATTAAGATGGGACCTCTCTATTAACGCGATATCTATATTGCCCCAGTGTTCTGTCCTAGAAATATGAAATTCTGTGCTCATAAGCATGTAACATATGCACTTTTCTTACATTTTTATCAGTTATCTTTTTTCCTGCATGTCAAATAACTCTAAAGCTTTATAGATAATATCCACCATAATTTATTCAACTCATGAGTCTGCAGTTCAATTGGGTGGTTCTGCTGATTTAGGCTAGGTTTGGCTTATCTCAACTAAGTTTACTCATGCATCTGTGGTCAGCCGCTGAGTTGGCTAGGGCCTGAGTAGTCTAGGATGGCTGAAATGCATGACTCAAAGGGATGCTTCTGTGGTCTCTCATCCCCCAAAGCCTAGTGAGTCTTGTTCACATGGCAGCTGGGCTGGCTTCCAAGACCACAGGTGGAGGTGGTGTGCAAGGCCTTTTGAGGCCTAGGCTTGGATCTGCTGCAGTCATTTATATCACATTCTGTTGGCCAAAGCAAGTCCTAAAGTCAGTCTAGATTTAAGAGATAGGAAACAGACCCTCTGTCTTGATGGGAGGAATTATAAGTAACATTGCAGAGGGGTATGGATACAGGGGGAAAAATAAACACAGCTATGTTTTTGAAACAATCTACCAGAACATTGTATTGTGAGAATGCAAAGTGTAGGTGCAAAATCATGCAACTGGGTATGACAAGTCTGTATTCCTGCTCTTTCATCTCCACTTAATTGCAACGTGTCCTTGGACAAGAAAGTTGAAGAAAATAGGAAGGAATATTGGCTGAATTATCTACCTGCTATTATTAGCGACGGTCAGATAAGAGAATTGATTTGTATTTTGGATGGCTTTATCATTGCAAGATATTATTTTATGCTGATAACATCTCACATCTCTTTAATGTGGAATCCACAAAAGTGACTTGAAGGGTTAATGGCACAGAGGTGTCTCCTGGATACTGTTCCTTGTGCTACTATGGCCTGAGGGGCTTGTCAAGTAAGGAAATTGGCTAGAAAGGTGGAAGGCTGATGGCTGAAAGTCCTCCATTCACCCTGTTGTGTTCTGTTATGCACTTGATGTATTTGATATTCTGTTCCACAGTGGAACCTCAGGGATTTGTGTACTAATAGCTCAGAGGCTGGGATAGAGGCAGAAAGCCACTGAAGTGCAGAGGAGGGCACAGAAAGATTGGAAAGTTTGGAGTGAAATGAAGCAGAAAATCAATGAATATCTAAGACTGGTGGAAAGTACAGCATCAAAACATTGTTATAAAAAAGGCAGAAGTACATAAGAAGGGCATTTTTGGAGGATCAACCTCTAAAACTGTCTAGTAGTATCATATAAGTGAAATTAAACTTGCCAACAGGAATTAAATGCAATTCGTGGCCCAATCTAAAGGTTATGAGAGTGAATCATAAAATAAGGAAAATCTCTTATTTTAGATACATTGATAGCTATGACTCCCTGCCCCCCCCCGCCCCCACCAAATATCATGGGATGAGTAAGAAATTATTAATCTGAATCATGTACTGTGGTGAAATGTTAGCTTAATAACACATCAGTGACTATTAGGTTTTCCATAACATTTTTTTGATGTTTAAATATGACATATTTAAAGAAAATTATCCCAATCTTAAGTGTACAGCAGAAAGAATTTTCACAAAGTGAACCACCTAGTGATTAGTAGCTGTGTTAGGAAACAAAATACTGCCAGAACCCGAAGGTCTCCTCATGCCTTTTGTAATCACTGCCCCTCTCCCAACAAAGGGAGACACTATGCTCATTTAACCCCATGGAGTAGTTCCATCTGTTTCTGAACTCTTCAGAAATGGAATCATACAGTATATACTCTTTTGTATCTAGCTCCTTTTGCTCAACATGATGTTTGGGGGCAAAAAGGAGTTTGGTTTGATTGGAGCACTAGGGCTATGCAGAGGCATAGAGGGAAATGACCTGGCAGCATAGACAGAGATGGGATTGCGGGCATTGGAGGCCTGTTCAAGAGATTATGCTTAATGTCTGTGATAAGCCCTTGGACGATATGCTCAGTGCTGCCTTTCAGGAAGATTAATATTGCAGCAATGATGTAGGAGAGATTGGGGGTAAGGACAGGAAGGCTGCAGCGTGGTTGGTTGTTGTGGGAAATGCACTCAGAATCTGAAGGACTGGGTCTGAGTGATACTTCTGTTCCTTGCTAACTGTGTCTTTGGACGATTCGTTCAACCTGTCTGATCTTCAGTGTCCTCATGTGAACAATGAAGGTAGGAATCCTGCTATTATAAAAACAAAATGAATTGATCCATGTTAGAGAACTGCAGACTATATAGATATAAGAGTTCCAGGGCCTCCACGGACCCCTACTGCGTGGCCATTGCTGTGACTGAGTGGAGGGAAAGAGGAGGCTAGGTATTTAATCTACTTTATTCAGTCATGTAGAGAATGCTCATGTTTAAGCCAATATTGCAGGTATTCATGTGGTTGGATAAGTTACACATTATACTCTAGGTATAGAGACTTTCAGAATGAACGAAGGAAAATTCTGGAGACAGACTGCCTGAATGTGAATCTGGCTTCCTCCTCTTACTATGTATGTGAACTTAGTCCAATTATTTTTAACTTTTCTGGGCCATGCTTTAATGATAGGTACCACATAGGATTGTTCTGAATTTTAATTTAATTAATACAAAGAAAACACTTAGAATAGTACCTGGCATGTAGTAAATACTCAATGTTATTATTGCCTTGTCTGTCTTTTCCAAGTAGCAATAAATGACCTAACTTTCTGTTGGTTAACTGCATAGAAGTGTGTGGCACAGGCCCATTGAAATCCTGTTTGCATCCTTCTATCCCTGTAGCTCCAGCCTTTTTCCAGGTTACCCACATTAGGATTATACAGAGTGAGCTCAGCCCTCATCCATGCACTGTGTATTTGAATATAAATAGTGCCCTGCTCCAATCTCCCTTTTTCCAGTTCCTTTCACATTTCCTAATAGAGTTGAGTTTTGAGGGGTTTTTTTTTTTTTGGCAGTTCTCTGATGAATATATTCAACTGATCTCCTACATGTGTGACCTAGTGATATGGTTTGGCTGTTTCCCCACCCAAATCTCATCTTAAATTGTAGCTTCCATAATTCCGAGGTGTTGTGAGAGGGACCAGTTGGAGATAATTGAATCGTGGGGGTGTTTCCTCCATACTATTTTTGTGGTAGTGAATAAGTCTCATGAGATCTGCTGGTTTAATAAGGAGTTTCTCCATTTGTTTGGCTCTTATTCTCTTTTGTGTGCTGCCATGTAAGATGTGCCTTTTGCCTTCCTCCATGATTGTGAGGCCTCCCCAGCCGTGTGGAACTGTGAGTCCATTAAACCTCTTTTCCTTTACGAATTACCGAGTCTTGGGTATGTCTTTATCGGCAGCATGAAAATGGAGTAATACACCTAGTCAGTGTAGAGATTAAGGAGAATTTCTCTTTTGTACTCAATGACATACTCTATTAATGCAACCCTAAGTTACATTGACTGTTTTGTTCTCTACATTATACTGTTAAATCATTCTGAGTTTGTAATTAATCAAAGCCCTCCAAATTGATCCCCAACATTTGCTTGTTTCATAAAAGTTTATTCTTTCATTTATTGAATTATTGGCTGCTTAACATATTACCATATGCCAGCTTTGTAATTGACAGTAGATCTGCTCCTTAAGGAGTTTCCTGGAATGTCATACATGCAAACAGACTTGTAGTAAGTGTGACAGTGAAAATTGTTATAATAGAGATGTGCAGAAACTGTATGATAACATAAAGGAAGGATATCGAATTCTCCCAGTGGGGGACGGGGGAGAGTATGACAATAAAGATGGCAGAGGCAGGGAGATGATGTCAGGGAAGTGCACATGGAAGAGAGAGTATTTGTCATAAACTGTATGTAAGATCCTAACCACTAAGAGTGGGGGAAGGAAGCCTTTAAACAGAGAGAATAACTTGTAACGTAGCATGAAACAGCATGGACATTCTGGGAACTACTCCTATCTGAGAATGGCAGCAGCCTAGAGAACAGGTGGAGGAATTGGCAGGAGAGATGCTGAGCAGGTAGGTAGGTACAAGGTCCTGATGGGCTTCGCGTGTCACACTTGGAAATTAATATTTATTCCTATAGGTAATGAGCCAACATGAAAAGAGTTTATATTAGAGAGGGACATGGTTAGACAGTTGTGCTTTAAAGAAATACGAGACTGATAGCCCTTGTAGTGTGATCTGTGAATTAGAGGAAGCAAGAATGGAGGTGGGATGGCTGATGGAGAGGCAGTTCCTGTCACACAAGTGAGAAAAAACCAGGAAATCATGACCAAACATGTCTATGGGAATGGAAGAGAAGGAAATTTTTTGAGAGATTTATTAAATAGATATATTTTGAGCATTTAGGCACTTTGAGTGGTGAGACCCTCAGGACTTGATAACCAGCTACATGTGGCAGGAAATGGGAAAAGTTGAGGCTTCGCCCCAGGTCTGAGTGACTGGGTGGATAATGATGTCATTCACATGATAGAAGATAACTGATTTGGGAGAAGCAAACGGTTCCCTTTAGGACCTATTTTTGGATACCTGTGGGACATCCAAGAGGAAACGCACGGCAGACATTTGGCTTAGTATCAATAACTCAGGAGAGAGGTTTCTTTTTGTGCTAAGTGGACCTGAGAATGATTCATATATGGAAGATGGTTGAAACCTAGATATGCAGTAGATCAACCAGAAGAGGACTGAGGGCAATCATGAGAATCCTAACATGAAATAGAAGCATGGAGAAGGATAGCCCTGGAAAGTGATTTTGAGAGGGCGTCAGTTGGAGGGTTGGCTAAAAACCAAGAGGAAGTAGTGCCATAGAACCTATGGCAGAGAGAGTCTATAATGCTTGATATATATGTGTATATATTACTAATATTTTATATATACTTTATGTATATATATCAAGTATGTATATTTACTAATATTTTGTTACTTTTTAAGCTTGTAAAACATTTTATAATGTTTAAGTGGTGTCAAACTACTTCTAAACCTGTGGCAGAGAGAGTCTATAATGCTCTCTCTCTATATAAAACTGATATTTTATATATACTTTATATATCAAGTATGTCTATTTACTAATGTTTTATTGCTTTTTAAGCTCATAAAACATTTTATAATATTTAAGTAGTGTCAAACTACTTCTAAATATTAGAAAATGTGCTTTTGAGTAAGCAGAATCCAGAGCAGGCCTGTCAGGATGGTCACCTCCTTTTGGAGCAATCTGCTTGCTAGAGATGAGGGATGTGTGTCTTCCCACCATTTGGACCTCATTCTAGTAGGTCCTAACTCATGACATTCTAGTTGGGGTTTGTGTTGGCTTTCTTAGTTTGAATGGGGTGAAGATTTTCTCTCTGTTTTTCCTTCTCTTTGCTTTAAGCTATTTTCAGAGAAAAGAATTCAGGTAGAAATGACTTTTCTATGCAGTATTTAAACAGAAGTCCCAAAGTTCCTTTAAAAGTTTGAGCTAACCAGAAAATATTATCTATAACATCATTGTTTTTATTTTTAAACTGAACTCTGTTTGAGTTTTTCATGTATTTCGATTATGCGTTTCTTTAGAGCAGAAGTGAGGCATATTTATCTTAATATCCCCAGGGCTTAAAACAGAACTTGGCATATAGGAGTGCTCCATAAATGTTTATTTTTGTATTACTTGTTGATGACTGCACTGTTCCATTTTTGAAAGCTTTCAAGCCTTCCAACATCTCATGTCACTGAATTACACAAATTTGTCTTCTTTATTTCATTAATTCTACTCTTTTTAACTGACTAAAGTTTAGCATCTTTTTCCCCCAAGTGTTAAAGTGAAATGGGAATTTGTTTTTAGGCTGTATATATGCTACAATATTTGAGAGTTTCAACTTAAATAGAGGTAGGCCTAAGGAAATTGAAGTTGAGGCAGAAACCCAGCAGGATGACCCTGCTACTCCTTTGTTTCTATAGGGACTCTTGTTTCTACTTCTCTTTGTTATCTTTCTCTTTTAAATTTTCATTATGAAAAATTTCAAACACATGCTGTCTTATAGAATATAGTATAACAAACCAGATGCATTCTTAACTGTTTACTTTTTTTTTTTTTTTTTTTTGAGACGGAGTCTCGCTCTGTTACCCAGGCTGGGGTGCAGTGGCATGATCTCGGCTCACTGCACCCTCCGTCTCCCAGGTTCAAGCAATTCCCCCTGCCTCAGCCTCCAAGTAGCTGGGATTATAGGCACCCACCACCATGCCCGGCTAATTTTTGAGTTTTTTTAGTAGAGACAGGGTTTTGCCATGTTGGCCAGGCTGGTCTTGAACTCCTGACCTCAGGTGATCCACCTGCCTCGGCTTCCCAAAGTTCTGGGATTACAGGCATGAGCCACTGTGCCCTGCCAACTGTTTCCTTCTTAACTGTCAGGAACTTTAACATGCATAATTAGAGTCTTATTAATATACATCTATTCTACTGCAACAACAAATTCCTCCTTGCTGGTCAGAATTCATGTCAGAGTAAGTTATATTAGATTCCTTGTCTACATTCTGGGAGACAGGGTTAGCAGTAAGGAAGTCATGGATACGAATGGATTTGCAGGTAATGACTGCATGAGAGGCTTCCTGGATCACTGCTCCATTTTCCCTCCCTGCCTATTTTGTGAACTGCATCAGGAATGAACTTATCCTACCTCTGCAGGTGGTCTATTACATGCTTCCAAAAAAGTAACTATGGGACTTTCATTGATTTAAGAAAGCCTATGCTGTGCTTTGATTTGGATAATCCCTTATTTGTTATTTTAAGCTTCTCAACAAAATATGAATTTTCCGGCTGCTGTTCTTTTTTTGGTGTTATTTTTGGTGACTTTTGCTAGAGAATGGATAGGATAGTAGGCCACACACCCATTTCAGGTTCAGCTCTGTTCACGTTTTCAGAGCTCTAGAAATGCAGTGATTCTCATGATTGTGGCAGGAGGTAGTGGGGCCAACAATGGTATTTGTTCATTTTCCCCATATATACCAAAGTATTTCCTGTGTGATTGCCTGTAAGACTGTGCTTCCTTTTTCAGAGTTCTGCTATTTGTAGCTATCATAAAATAAGAAATGAAAAGAAACCTTTTAGAGTAGAGGGAAAGTTTTATAGGAAAAGGAAATAAAAGGTCTGAATTCAACACTCCTATTTGTATACTCTGTATATAACGCATTTGAGCAATTTTCATCTTCGGTTTCTCTCTGTACCATTTATATTCTACTTATGAAAATAAATTGGGAATTTCTTAGCTAATGAAATCTGTTTTATCTAATAATTTGAAAATATGAATTTTTGGGTAGGAAGATATCTATTTTTTTAAAGTTTATCATTTTGACTTTTTTGTTTTCTTAAAATCAGACCTATAATATACATATGTTCTTAATATATAATTGGATGGTTAAATTTATGAAGGTGAGCCATTGTATTGTTTCCCCAGCCTTTTTTTTTCCTGAAAATGTGGTGTAATTTTTTTTTTTTTTTTAAATCCAGGGAATCAGCAGTCTCTTCAGTTCTTTAAAAGTGGTGCGTCTCTTACGACTGGGCCGTGTGGCTAGGAAACTGGACCATTACCTAGAATATGGAGCAGCAGTCCTCGTGCTCCTGGTGTGTGTGTTTGGACTGGTGGCCCACTGGCTGGCCTGCATATGGTATAGCATCGGAGACTACGAGGTCATTGATGAAGTCACTAACACCATCCAAATAGACAGTTGGCTCTACCAGCTGGCTTTGAGCATTGGGACTCCATATCGCTACAATACCAGTGCTGGGATATGGGAAGGAGGACCCAGCAAGGATTCATTGTACGTGTCCTCTCTCTACTTTACCATGACAAGCCTTACAACCATAGGATTTGGAAACATAGCTCCTACCACAGATGTGGAGAAGATGTTTTCGGTGGCTATGATGATGGTTGGCTGTAAGTATTTTAATTTTTTCATTGAAAATTATTGTTATTGGCAATTTTCCTGGCTACAATCTCAGATAGGATGAAAACGAACTACTTTGTTTACAGAAAGGTATTTAATCCATCTTATTTGCAATTGTTTTTTTTAATCTACCTTAGAAAATAGAAATGCAAAATAATATATTTTACTCTTCAGGACATAATAATGTGTGAAAAACATATTAATGTGTGTACCCAGCAGTGCTCTCTTGAAGGAACCAGGACCAGCATCCAGAGAGGTGGCGTTTCGCACATTCCATAGATTTTGTTGGTAATGTGTTAAATTCCAAAAAAAAAAAAAAAAAGAGATAGGATCTGATGTGAAATATATTGTTTATAAATATTCTAGTTAATACTGAATTCCTAAATTAAAGTTGACCTTAGGATACACTTTTGTATAGGTTTTTACAATTAAGACTAGGAGAAAGGGTTTATAAAGCTAGTCTTCATTATAGCCACTCTAGGTTGAATATATGCCTGTTTGAGAGAATGAAAGGATTACTGAATATAAGCCCATTCAGCAATGAGAAGTGTCTAGGATTTAACAGGTATACCTGGGTACCAAGTTCTTGGAAGTAGAATACCCCCTAAAGGAACAAAGACCATGTGCTCTGCACTCAGACTGTGACTGGATGGCATCAGAAGACCAGAACATAAAGGAAATACATACAAAGAAGCTGCTTTTGAAGATCTTGAGGGAGACTTCACCATCATTCACGCCTTCAAGTTGACTTAGATGACTTATCCACACCTAAACTAACCTTAAGATTGTACTTTGATTTTGTATCCTGAGACTTTGCTGAAGTTGCTTATCAGCTTAAGGAGATTTTGGGCTGAGACAATGGGGTTTTCTAGATATACAATCATGTCATCTGCAAACAGAGACAATTTGACTTCCTCTTTTCCTAATTGAATATCCTTTATTTCCTTCTCCTGCCTAATTGCCCTGGCCAGAACTTCCAACACTATGTTGAATAGGAGTGGTGAGAGAGGGCATCCTTGTCTTGTGCCAGTTTTCAAAGGGAATGCTTCCAGTTTTTGCCCATTCAGTATGATATTGGCTGTGGGTTTGTCATAGATAGCTCTTATTATTTTGAAATATGTCCCATCAATACCTAATTTATTGAGAGTTTTTAGCATGAAAGGTTGTTGAATTTTGTCAAAGGCCTTTTCTGCATCTATTGAGATAATCATGTGGTTTTTGTCTTTGGCTCTGTTTATATGCTGGATTACATTTATTGATTTGCGTATATTGAACCAGCCTTGCATCCCAGGGATGAAGCCCACTTGATCATGGTGGATAAGCTTTTTGATGTGCTGCTGGATTCGGTTTGCCAGTATTTTATTGAGGATTTTTGCATCAATGTTCATCAAGGATATTGGTCTAAAATTCTCTTTTTTTGTTATGTCTCTGCCCGGCTTTGGTATCAGAATGATGCTGGCCTCATAAAATTAGTTAGGGAGGATTCCCTCTTTTTCTATTGATTGGAATAGTTTCAGAAGGAATGGTACCAGTTCCTCCTTATACCTCTGGTAGAATTCGGCTGTGAATCCATCTGGTCCTGGACTCTTTTTGGTTGGTAAGCTATTGATTATTGCCAAAATTTCAGCTCCTGTTATTGGTCTATTCAGAGATTCAACTTCTTCCTGGTTTAGTCTTGGGAGAGTGTATGTGTCAAGGAATTTATCCATTTCTTCTAGATTTTCTAGTTTATTTGCGTAGAGGTGTTTGTAGTATTCTCTGATGGTAGTTTGTATTTCTGTGGGATCGGTGGTGATATCCCCTTTATATGCTGCTATAAAGACACATGCACACATATGTTTATTGCAGCATTATTCAAAATAGCAAAGACTTGGAACCAACCCAAATGTCCAACAATGATAGACTGGATTAAGAAAATGTGGCACATATACACCATGGAATACTATGCAGCCATAAAAAATGATGCGTTCATGTCCTTTGTAGGGACATGGATGAAATTGGAAACCATCATTCTCAGTAAACTATCGCAAGAACAAAAAACCAAACACCGCATATTCTCACTCATAGGTGGGAATTGAACAATGAGATTACATGGACACAGGAAGGGGAACATCACACTCTGGGGACTGTTGTGGGGTGGGGGGAGAGGGGAGGGATAGCATTGGGAGATATACCTAATGCTAGATGACGAGTTAGTGGGTGCAACACACCAGCATGGCACATGTATACGTATGTAACTAACCTGCACAATGTGCATATGTACCCTAAAACTTAAAGTATAATAATAATAAAAATAAATAAATAAATAAATAAAAAAGATTGTACTGAAGGTGTGATTAGCATTATTAGCGCCTCTTGAGCCTTTGGATCATGGTCATCGGTTTTTGTGTGTGTGTGTGTGTGTGTGTCTAAGCTGTCCTTTCTGAGATTCCATGTTGCAGAGGCTTAGATTTTGACATTGATGGCAAAAGTTCTGGGACTCCAAGGGCGTTTGCTGGAACATGAAAGGTTAATATCTTGAGTCTAAGCAGGTAGTTTTCATCATTTAGAATGTCTGAAAGCTATTGAAGCATCAGTGTTGGCAGTTGTTCAGCTTCTGTTTGTCTAATGAACCCTTGTACAGGTATAGGAACAAGAACAGGCAGGCTCTATTTGCTGGTTAGAGCTTGCAGTTAGAGGGAGAGTGAGAATTCCAAGTGCTGTTTGCTCCAGAGGCTTTCAGCAGGAAAATGTCCTTATACACAGAGAGAGATGCTGATGATTAATTAAATGGATACCTACGTATACAAAGTGGTAAGATGTATGGGCAAAAATGTACTTTATAAATTCAGAAGACAACATTTTGTCAGAGGCTGTATTTAGCACCATACTACTTTTAATATTTATACATTTTGCCTTATACTTGAGCATAGTTAGATTAAAAAAGAAAACCTTTTTGTTTTGAAGTAATTATAGATTCATTGGAAGTTGCAAAAATAGTGTGGAGAGGGCCTTTGTTACCTTCACCTAGTTTCCTCCAATAATTACATCTTATATAACTATAGCTCAGTATCAAAATTGACAATGATATAATGTGTGTGTATAGCTCTGTATTGTTTTATCACATGTGCAGGTTTCTTTAATTACAACTGCAATCAAGATACAGAACTGTTCCTTTACCACAAAGCTGTCTTTTATATGTAACCTACCCATTTCCCCCAACTATCCCTATTCCCTGAAAACTACTCATCTGCTCTCCATCTTTATAATTTTGTGATTTTGAGTATGTTATATAAATTAAATTATGTAAAATGTAACCTTTTGAAATGGACTTTCTCCGCTCAGCATAATGCCCCTGAGATCCATCTAAGTTGAATGTATCAGTAATTAATTTGTTCTTTTTTATTGCTGAGTAGTAGTTCATGGTTAGGATGTACTACTGTTTAACTCACCATCTATTGAAGGACATTGTATTTGTTTCCAGATTTTGGCTATTACAAATAAAGCTGCTATGTTAATACCTAGGTGATGGGTTGATATTGCAGCAAACCACCATGGCACACATTTACCCATGTAACAAACCTGCACATCCTGCACATGTACCCTGGAACTGAAAATAAAAAAAAAAACCACACAAAAAACACAAAGCTGCTGTGAACATTTGTGTATAGGTTTTTAATATGGACATTAGTTCTTAGTTCTCTGGGATAAGTGCCCAGGAATGTGATTACTGGGACATGTGATAAGTGTATGTTCAATTTTTAAAGAAATTGCCAAACTATTTTACAGAGTGGATGTACTAGCACAGTTATATTTTTCATAAGAGAATTGTAGGAAAATAAAATCTATGTAGAGTCAAAGGACACAATTATTTACTTTGTTTCTGAGGCCCCGAAGTTGGGAATCATCCTAGATTTCTGTTTTTCTATGTTACATCTATTAATAACATGGCCTGTAGGGTTTACCTTCAAAATACATTTGATTATTTCTCTCTCCTTCCATAGATTACCACCCAAGACCAAGTCACCATCATCTCTGGCCTGAACTTTTGAAGTAACCTCCTATATCTTCCTAATTTTCTTATGCTTGCCCTACAATCTCTATCCCAAAGCTTAAGCAGCCCCTTTAAAAGCAAATCAGATCACACCATTCCTCTGCTCAAATCCCTCCAATGTGTGTGAAATAAAGTCCAGATTCCCTAGCTCATCTTTCAAGGCCTTCCTGATATGGCCCTGCCTACCTCACTCACTTCACTTTCAACCATTCTTCCTTGGCTTATCCTCCTAAGTCCATGCTCACCATCTCATTTTCCCTGAAAACATCAGTCTTAGGCCTGTCTCAGAGTCTTTGTACTTGCTTTCCCATTGCTTATAACACTCCTCTCCTGACCTATGACCCGAATTCATGTGGCTCTCCACGGTATCGCCTCTACAGAAATTCCTTCCAGTGCTACCCTACTATAAAAAAACACCTCAATGCCAACCTGTAGTCTCTACTCTTTAACCTTTCCCTTCATTGTCCCTACCACGATCCGAACCCACGTGTACTTGGTTTTTCTTTTCCTTCAGAATGTAAGCTCCATGAGAGGTAGGCCTCTGTCCGTTTCTTGTATCCCCAGTATCTAAACAATTCTTAAGAGTTTTGTGCTCAATCTTAATTTTTCATATGAATGAATGAAATTGAAGATGTCCCTGATGGTCGTGATGAAGATCTTCTGTCCTTGAATCCATCCCAGTTAGATCTACGATCAAGTACGTGCCAGCAAAATGCAGGGTGTTAGAGCTTTGACCCCGATTCCTTTGTGAAAGGCCTGGTAAGCTCACCTGCATTGTCTTCCTTTGGGGGTGTAGTCATTCCTTTAGCTGAGTTGGTAACCCCGTGTCTTATCGGCCTATCGATATAAGTTCTAAGAAGCAAGTCACTGGAAGCTCCAACAAAATGTTCTCTCACTGCTTCTTACCATCTACCTTCTGAATCTACCTACAGTGGAAATTTTCACGTATATTCAGTTGGGTTTCCGAAACTGTATTTGGTTCAGAGTTGGTTCTATTCCTTCTCTCCTTCATGAATAGCCAATTATACTTGCTAGATCTAAAT